>NC_000005.10:177416226-177566671 GCF_000001405.40 Homo sapiens
AAGAAAAAGAAAAAGACAGATTTTGAATGACACCATTTGAGACCCAGCATCCAGAGACGCTTGAAGTCAGAACCACCACCTATGCTTTTCTGTTACCTGAACCCCAAAATTCCTTTTTTTGCCTGAGCTAATTTTAGTTTCAACCAAAAGTCCTAACTTATGCTGCCAGACTTCATACACTGTTACCAGGAAGTTCCCAAAACAAAACAAAACAAAACAAACCCCTTCATGTGATCATGATGGGTAAGTCAGTAGTTTAAAGGACGGGAAAATACTGACCTTAGAAGCAGGGTAGGGAAGCACTGGACTTGAGTCAGGAAGGCTTCCACTCCCACCTTGGCCACCGCCCCGCAGTGTGATGACGGCTAAGGAGCTCGGCCTCTCTCAATCTGCATTGCCACATCTCTGTAGGGAGGGATGGGCACTCATGCTGTCTGGTAGACTTGTTGAGGTGTTTGAATGGGATTGCATGTGAAAAGGCAGAGCCTGGCGTGTGGTTGGAGCTCAATCCATAGAGGTGTACAAAGAAACTTTCCAATGTGGATACATTTTTCTCTATAATTTCTGCACACTTGTCCCCAGATCTTCTTGCACATCTGGCTGTCTTCCACCAATTGCTGTAGACCAGAGCAGAAAGGCAGTGTCCCCTTGACCTGGCTTCTGTCTTTCTGCAGCTGGGCGGTGGGTCCATGGGATGAGAAACCATTGAGTCCTGCTCACAGGTTTCTGGATACACACAGACACACACAAATCCCCTTCCTCTTTATTTTTATTTTTTTGAGACAGAGTCTCGCTCTGTCTCCCAGGCTGGAGTGCAATGGCACGATCTCGGCTCACTGCAACCTTCGCCTCCCAGGTTCAAGCGATTCTCCCTCAGCCTCCTGAGTAGCTGGGATTACATGCACCTGCCACCACATCCAGCTAATTTTTGTATTTTTGGTAGAGACGGGGTTTCACCATGTTGGTCAGGATGGTCTCAAATTCCTGACCTTGTGATCTGCCCACCTCGGCCTCCTGAAGTGCTGGGATTACAGGTGTGAGCCACCATGCCCGGCCCCCACTTCCTCTTTAGCAGGGACTTGGGACATAGATTTCATGTGGTTGCAGAACTGCCTGTTCAAGGAGACGTTGGGGGGATCAGAAGGTACCCAGCCTGCCATCCTTCACACCTTGGCTGGTGGTACTGTTGCTTCCCCAGTCAGACTGTTGAACTGTTGAGATACAGTCTTTTTTTTTTTTTGAGATGGAGTCTCGCTCTTGTCGCCCAGGCTGGAGTGCAATGGCACGATCTTGGCTCACTTCAACTTCCGCCTCCCGGGTTCAAGCAATTCTCCTGCCTCAGCCTCCCAAGTAGCTGGGATTACAGGTGCCTGCCACCACACCCGCCTAATTTTTGTATTTTTAGTAGAAACGGTTTTCACCATGTTGGCCAGGCTGGTCTTGAACTCCTGACTTCAGGTGATCCACCCACCTCGCCCTCCCAAAATGCTGGGATTACAGGCATGAGCCACCGCACCCGGCCAAATTTAATTAATTTAAGTAGCCACATGTGACTAGGTGCTACCATGTTGGACAGTGCAGCTCCTGATGGAAGCAGGAAGAAGCTCAGCGTGTGGCTGCTGGTGCACACCGAATGAGAAGGAGAGGGCATGAAATAACGCTGGAGAGGGAAGCAGGGCCCGGATCAAGTTGGGCCATTGTGGGCCACGGGGAAGAACATAGGGTTTTTAACATTTTAATTGTTTATTTTTTGTAGAGCTAAGTCTCACTATGTTGTTGCCCAGGCTGGCCTTGAAATCCTAGGATCAAGTGAGCCTCCCACCTCATCCTCCCAAGTAGCTGGGACTACAGGAGGTTTTTTTAAATTATTATTTATTTATTTATTTATTTTTTTGGAGACAGTTCTTGCTCTGTTACCCAGGCTGGAGTGCAATGGTATGATCATGGCTCACTGCAGCCTCAAGGAGGTTTTATTTTTTAAGTGTAATGAGAAGTGTATTAATTATCTATGGCTGCATAACAAATTGTCCCAAAATTTAGCAGCTTAAAATGACATTTATGGAGACTGATTTCAATGATAACTCCAGTTCTCTCACGTGGGCCAGCCTCACATCAATTAAACTCTTTTTTTTTTTTTTTTTTTGAGACAGAGTCTCGCTCTGTTGCCTAGGCTGGAGTGTATAGTGACACGATTTTGGCTCACTGCAACCTCTGCCTCCTAGGTTCAAGGGATTCTCCTGCCTCAGCCTCCCAAGTAGTTGGGACTACAAGTGCCCACCACAACACCTGGCTAATTTTTATATTTTTAGTAGAGATGGGGTTTCACTATGTTGGCGAGGCTAGTCTCGAACTCCTGACCTCATGATTGGCCTGCCTTGGCCTTCCAAAGTGCTGGGATTACAGGCGTGAGCCACTGCTCCTGGCCAATTAAGCTTTTATTTTATTTTTTTGAGACAGAGTTTCTCTCTTGTTGCCCAGGCTGGAGTGCAATGGCACGATCTCGGCTCACCGCAACCTCTGCCTCCCGGGTTCAAGCAATTCTCCCGCCTCAGCCTCCTGAGTCGCTGGGATTACAGGCATGTGCCACCACGCCTGGCTAATTTTGTATTTTTAGTAGAGATGGGGTTTCTCTATATTGGTCAGGCTGGTCTTGAACTCCTGACCTCAGGTGATCCACCCACCTTGGCGTCCCAAAGTGCTGGGATTACAGGTGTGAGCCACCACTCCCGGCCATAAACTCTTTTTAAAAAAGATATTTATGGGTCACAGTTTCTATGGGTCAGGAACCCGGCACTTTTTAACTGAGTGCCACTGGATCAGCATCTCTCACAAGGCTGCATCGGAGGGTCAGCTGAGGCTGCCGGGGGAAGGATCCACTTCCAAGTTCACTTACAAAGCTGTTGGCTAGAGACATCAGTTGCCTGCCACATAGGGTCTCTCCATCTCACAACCTAACAGGTGGTTTCTCTCAGACTGAGCCAGTGAGGGAGCAAGAGGAGTTACGTAAGATGGTAGCCACAATCTTTTAGTAATCTCATGTTGGAAATGACATTCCATCACTTTGGCTGCATTCCTTCCATTGGAAGTGAGTCAAGCTGGGTGCCATGGCTCATGCCTGTAATCCCAAGACTTTAGGAGGCCAGGGAGGGAGGATTGCTTGAGCCAGGAGTTTGAGACCAGCCTGGGCAACAGAGGGAGACCCTATCTCTACAAAAAAATTAATTAGTTGGGTATGGTGGCATGCGCATGTAGTCCCAGCTACTCGGGAGGCTGATGTAGGCTGATCGATTGGGCCCAGGAGGTGGAGGCTGCAGTAAGCTGTGATCGAGCCTGAGTGACAGAGCAAGACCCTGTCTCTTAGGGAAAAAAAACGTGGCCCGGCCCAGTGGCTCACGCCTGAAATCCCAGCACTTTGGGAAGCCGAAGCAGGCAGATCACCCAAGGTCAGGAGTTTGAAACCAGCCTGGCTAACATGGTGAAACCTCATCTATACTAAAAATACAAAAATTAACCAGGCGTAGTGGGCAGCGCCTGTAATCCCAGCTACTCCGGAGGCTGAGGCAGGAGAATTGCTTAAACCCGGGAGGCGGAGTTTGCAGTGAGCCGAGATTGCACCACTGCACTCCAGCCTGGGCGACAGAGCGAGACTCTGAAAAAAAGAAAAGGCCGGGGGCAGGCCAGGCCTGGTGGCTCACGCCTGTAATCCCAGCACTTTGGGAGGCAGAGATGGGCAGATCACTTGAGGTCAGGAGTTCAAAACCAGCCTGGCCAACATGGTGAAACCCCATCTCTACAAAAATTAACTGGGCGTAGTGGCACGCGCCTGTAGTCCCAGCTACTCGGGAGGCTGAGGCAGGAGAATTGCTTGAACCTGGGAGGCAGAGGTTGCAGTGAGTGGAGATCAAGCCACCGTACTCCAGCCTGGCAACAGAGCGAGACTTCCACAGAGCGAGACTCCATCTCAAAAACAAAAAAAAAGAAAAAAAGAAAAAGAAAAAATGCCGGGTGTAGTGGCTCACACCTGTAATCCCAGCACTTTGGGAGACCGAGACGGGCGGATCAGGAGTTTGAGACCAGCCTGGCCACATGGTGAAACCCCGTCTCTACTAAAAATACAAAAAATTAGCCAGGCGTGGTGGTGAGTGCCTTTAATTCCAGCTACCCGGGAGGCTGAGGCAGGAGAATTGCATGAACCCAGGAGGTGGAGGTTGCAGTGAGCTGAGATCATGCCATTGCACCCCAGCCTGGGTAAGGAGAGCAAAACTCCATCTCAAAAAAAAAAAAAGTGAGTCAGGAGGTCCACCTGACACTTAAGGGGATCTTAAGGCTGTGAATACCAGGAAGAAGCAGAGATCCACGGACCAGGAAGAAGCAGAGATCCACGGACCAGGAAGAAGCAGAGATCCACGGACCAGGAAGAAGCAGAGATCCACGGACCAGGAAGAAGCAGAGATCCACGGACCAGGAAGAAGCAGAGATCCGTGGTGGCAGGGGTACCTTAGAGGTTGCCTACCACAGGCAGCCACTGGAGAGTTCTGAGTAAGAGTGACAGGATCCGGCTGATTGTTTTTAAGACAGGCCATCCAGTCACACAATGCAAGATTAAAGGTGCAAAAAGGGAGGTGAAAAACCTCCCTCCCACCCCCATCCCCAGCCATTTAACTACCCCTTCCCAGATGCAAGCAGCATTTCTGCTGCCTCACGTGGCCTTCCCAAGGTGGCAACATATATATAAGCAAAACTGTCTGTGGTGGTTGTTAGTGTTGTTCACCAAACATTTCCAATTCTTTTATCCTTCCAGGCCTATAGGAGTGATGCCAGGTACCTGCTTCTGCATTATAAACTACTCCAAACTTAGTGGCCTGTTTTATCATGCTCATGGATTCTGTGGGTCAGGAATTCAGGCAGGACTCAGCAGGGAAGATGCCAGGGACCTCAGCTGGATACTTGCATGGCTGGGGGTGACTCAAATTGCCAGGGGTTAGAATTATCATATGGAGGCTTCTTCACTCACATGTCTGGTGCTGGGGGTGGGATGACTGGATCATCCCAGCGTCCTGGGCTCAGCTGGGATTGTCAACCACAGTAGAGCACACACATGTGGCCTCTCCATTTGGCTAGGGCTTCTCACAGCAGCAGCTGACTGTGAGGAAAGAGCCCAAGAGGACAGTTCTGGGGAGCCGGCATTTTATGACAGCCAGGCCATATGGCCTTTCCTGACCTGGCCTCAGACTTCACTCTGCATCATTTCCACCATATTCTACCGATGACAAGAGAGTCATTAAGGTCAGACCAAATTCAAGGGGAGGGAAATTAAACTCTATCTCTTGCTGTGGGGGTGGCAAGGTTCCATTGCAGAGGTGCCCATGGGATGGGAATGCATTGTTACACTCATCTTTAGAAAATATAATCTGCCATAGTAATGTTGTGTCTCCCCACTCCTTTATTTATTTATTTATTTATTGAGACAGAGTCTCACTCTATCTCCCAGGCTGGAGTGCAGTGGAACGATCTCGGCTCACTGCAGCCTCTGCCTCCTGAGTTCCAGCGATTCTCCCACCCCAGCCTCCCAAGTAGCTGGGACTACAGGTGCACAACACCACGCCTGGCTAATTTTTGTATTTTTAGTAGAGACAGGTTTTCACCATGTTGGCCGGTCTGGTCTCAAACTCCTGACCTCAGGTGATCCACCAGCCTTGGCCTCCCAAAGTGCAGGGATTACAGGCATGAGCCACCATGCCAGCCCTTCTCCCCACCCCTTGAAAGCTACTTGTGGCCATGTGGTTTGCTTTGACCAATGAAATGTGAGCAGAAGTGACTTGTGTCACTTTTGGGTGCGAGCTTTAAGGACTATTGTATGATTTACCAAATTTCCCATTTCCTTTCACCACCTGCCATTGTAGAAGCACAAACTGCAATGAAGCCCCTACTACGCTGGGGCCCTGAGTGACTACTATGTGTAGTGCCACCCCACCACCCAACAAGCTGTGTTAGACATGTGGTGTATGCAGGAAATGAACTTTTGTTGCTTTAGGTCACTTAAACTTGGGATTGTTTGTTACTGCAGCAGAACCTAATCTATCCAGACCCTTCCTTTTTTTTGAGACAGAGTCTCACTCTGTCACCCAGGCTGGAGTGCAACATCTCTGCTTACTGCAACCTCTACCTCCTGGGTTCAACCAATTCTCCTGCCTCAGCCTCCTGAGTAGCTAGGATTACCATTCCCAGCTAATCTTTGTGTTTTTTAGTAGAGATGGGCTTTCCCCATGTTGGCCAGGCTGGTCTTGAACTCTTGACCTCAGGTGATCCGCCCGCCTCGGCCTCCCAAAGTGCTGGGATTACAGGCTGAGCCACTGTGCCCAGCCCAGACACTTCTTATGCAAGCCTTACACACTGTTCTGCACCCTGATTTTTTCCACTTAACAATATATCTTGGAGATTGTTTATATCAGTATACAAGCACTTCCACGCTTTTTTTTTAAATAGCTACATCGTATTCCTGGGTAGGAAAGGACATTTTACTTAATCAGTCTCTATTAAGGACAATTAGTATGATCCATCTTTTTGGACAATGCTGCAATGAATAGCCTTAAACATTTCTTTTTTTTTTTTTTTTTTTGAGACAGAGTCTCACTCTGTCATCCACGCTGGAGTGCAGTGGCACAATCTCCGCTCACTGCAACCTCTGCACCTGGCTAAGTTTTGGACTTTTAGTAGACATGGGGTTTTGCCATGTTGGCCAGGCTGGTCTTGAACTCCTGGTCTCAAGTGATCCTCCCGCCTCTGCCTCCCAAAGTATTGGGATTACAGGTGTGAGCCACCAGGCCCCACCAGCCTTAAGCATTTCTTATTTTGCTTGAGTGCAACGATATTTGTTTCTTTTGAGACAGAGTCTTACTCTGTCCCCCAGGCTAGAGTGCAATGGCACGATCTCAGTTCACTGCAACCTCCGTCTCCCAGGTTCAAGCGATTCTCCTGCCTCAGCCTCTCAAGTAGCTGGGATTACAGGCACCCGCCACCACACCTGGTGAATTTTTTTAAATTTTAGTAGAGATAGGTTTTGCCATGTTGGCCAGGCTGTTCTCAGACTCCTTCCCTCGTGATCCACCCACCTCGGCCTCCCAAGGTGCTAGGATTACAGGCGTGAGCCACAGCACCCGACTAAGTGCAATGATATTTGTAAGATAGATTCCTAGATGTGCACATCTCAGATGGTTGGTGGCAGATTTTCCCTCTTATTTATTTATTTATTTTTGAGATGGAGTCTCGCTCTGTTGCCCAAGCTGGAATGCACTGGCATGATCTTGGCTCACTGCAACCTCCACCTCCAGGGCTTAAGCGATTCTCATGCCTCAGCCTCCTGAGTAGCTGGGACTACAGGCCCGCACCACCATGCCCGGCTAATTTTTTATATTTTAGTAGAGATGGGGTTTCACCATGTTGGCCAGGGTGGTCTCGAACTCCTGAGCTCAGGTGATCAGCCTGCCTTGGCCTCCCAAAGTTCTGGGATTACAGGCATGAGCCACCATGCTTAGCCAATTTTCCCTTTTAAAAATATCACTTTGGCTGTAGGTGGAAAATGGCTTAAAGAGCTGGAACGAAATTTCCTGAGTGACATCTCCTCTTCACCTCTTATCTATTGCCATGTCCTGTTCATGCCAGCTACATGCCAGGTCTCCATCTGTCCACCTGTCTGCATGTCCTGGCCACTGCCCCAGCATAGGGCACCATCATTCCTCTCTCTAAAAGTTCCTTCTAAAAGGTCTCTCACCTGTCTTAGGATACTTGGCTTGCAGACAAGGAAGCCAATTCTGAGTAACTAAGCAGATGAGGAATGGATGGGGCAGCCTGGGGGGCTTGCTGAATCCCCCTCCCCCAGGAAGGGCCTAGCTTGACTGCCTTCCTTGCCTCCCCCAACCTCCACGGCCTCCACAGTGAATTCTAAATGATCCCCCTGATGTCTTGTGCCGGTCACATGCTCTAGATTCAAAGACCTGGTTGGAAACATTGGAATTGTGCTCCAGCTACCAGAGACCTGGGAGAAAAAATTCTACCTCCCTTCTTTGATTTCCTGAGTTGAAGGCAGGGTCTGCCTCCACATCTCATAGGATTCTTCTCAAACGGGAAGGGCTTCAGATGTTGGGAACTAAAACAACAACAAGCCAGCCCCCTCCCCTCAGCTTATCCTTCACAGTGCAGCCCAGAGCTCTCTATGAAAGCAAATCTGATCACCCTACTCAAAACCTCCGTGAGAGCTCCCTACCACCTTCAAGACGAAGTCCAAAATTCCTTAGGTGGCTCTCAAGGCCCTCCCTGATCCAGGCCCCTCCTGAGACTTCAGCCTCATTTCTTGCCCCCATGTCGACCCCATTGTGTACCACTGTGTACCTTTAAACCCCAGCTGGATGCTTAGGTGCTGAACGCAGGAGCCCTTCCTGACTTCCTCTACGGAACTTCGAACATGTGATACCCCTCTGTCCAGAAGGCTCTTTCCCTCCCTACTCCAGTAACCTGCACATTTTCACTGAATCTTCAGATTTCACTTGGACACAACAGCCTTCACTAAGTGAGGTACCTGCCCTATGTTCCACTGGGCCCTGGGTTTCCCTTTTTTTTTTTTTTTTTTGAGACGGAGTCTCACTCTGTTGCCCAGGCTGGAGTGTATTGGCACGATCTCGGCCCACTGCAAGCTCCACCTCCCAGGTTCACACCATTCTCCTGCCTCAGCCTCCCAAGTAGCTGGGACTACAGGTGCCCGCCACCATGCCCGGCTAATTTTTTGTATTTTTAGTAGAGACGGGGTTTCACCGCATTAGCCAGGAGGGTTTCCCTCTTTTAAGGTACTTAACTCCCTAGATCCTAGATCCATCCACTTTTCTCCGTCTCTATTGCCACCTTGTAGGTCCAGGCCACCACCATCTCTTTACTGGAATTCTGTAAACTCCTGACTGCTCTGCTTCCACTCTTGGCCCCCTAGGAATCCACCAGAGTGATATTTTTAAAATATAAATCATTCTTTCAAATGTTTCACATTTCACTTAGCAAAAACACTTCAGCCTCCTGGACGTGTTCACAGTCCTCCATGACCTAGCTAGTGCCTTTGCTCCTTCTGTCTCATCTCAGACCACTGGGCCCAGAAGCTGCGGACGCCTTCTCCTATTCCCTGAACACACCACTTAGTCTGGCTTAGAGCCTCTGCGTTTGCTGTTGCTTCTACTGGATCCGCTCAAATGTCACACCCTGAGAGTGTCACACACTCTCTTAACGTCCGAAGAGCAGTTGTCACTCTCTGAAACCATCTATTTGTTTATTTACAGAATAATTACCTTTATCTCACCCTGCCCTCACTTGCTCCCTCCACTTCTAGCAAGTAAGCAGGGAGCCTGGCTATCTTGCTGCCATCACTGTGTTCTCCAGCACCTGGCTTGGTGCCTGGCACAGAGGTGTTGCTCTGTATTTTCGGATGAATGAATGCATAGGAACTAGAGAAGCCTAGATGGATCCGGCTCTGCCTTACTCGCGGAGTTTGGGCAAGCCTGTTTCCTGCTGCGTGAAGTAGGGGGTGGAGGAAGCGGGGTGTTAAGCTACAAGGTGTTGATTAGCTGTAAGATTTCAGCCTTGTTTTCTCCGTAGTCTTCGGGCTGGAGCCAGCCACTTGACGTCCGGCGCCTCAGCTCCCCACCTGTATAATGGGTGTGAACTCATCCCGAGGTCTAGGGGTGGTAGCGCTGCCTTATAAGGCGGCAGAGGCCGAGGGAAGGCGAGGCCGAGTGGGTGGAGAGAAATCACAACATCCGGCTGCGGGGGCTGGGCGGGGCGCCTGCGGCGACCGGGCAAGAGGTCGGGGAACGGCTGCGAGGCCGCAGCCTCCTCCCTGTCTCTCCCTCTTTCGATGTGCGCCCTCCTGATTGGGGCCGACCCAAGGGAATACGGCCACACAAGTGGACCAAACAAACTCGCTGCCAGCCCGCAGGAGGCCCAGGATACGGAGCGCGTCCCCGACAAAACCCTAGAAAAGCCGTCTGCGAGCCAAAGGCCGCCGGGCCACACCTTCAGGCGACGACCCAATCAAAATGCAGTACTTGAGATGACGGACGTCTTCTTCACCCAATCACATATTCGGCCTCCTGGGCGTGCCCCAGAGTACCCACCTCCATTGTCCCGGCTGAGGGCTCGGCCCTAATTGGCAGTTTGGTATCCTACGAAAGCCTAGAAATTCGAACCTAGGGGCTGAACCCCGCCCTCAGACCAACCAGGAAGAGGTGACGTGATTGGTCCCGCCCCCGTACTTCTTTGAGCGAGTCCCCAGCTGGGGGGGCGGGGGAAAAAATGAAGAGGAAGACTAATGGGAAGACGGCGCGGGGAGCTTCTGCCCGGTGATTGGTCAAATGAGGTAAACAGAGGGCGGGGCAGGGCGGGCCAGCGCCGGGGTGGCCCCCGGGAGGGGGCGGAGAGTGCGCGGCTGGCTGCGGCGGCCGGGGAGGCCGGGGAGGCCGCGGCGCGGTCACTGCGAGCCGAGCCGAGCCGCGCCGAGCCGCGCCGATCGCCATCCGGCCTCGGCACTCGCGCGCGATCCCGGCCGGCGGCGCGGCCCGGCGGGCCAGGCGGCGCCACAGCCCATGGAGCTCGAGAACATCGTAGCGAACACGGTGCTACTCAAGGCCCGGGAAGGTGAGGCGGCCGGGTGGGCGGCCGGGCCCGGGTGCGTGGAGCGCGAGTGCGCTGCGTCTGAGCTCCGCAGGGCTACCCAGCCGTCGGATCCCCTAGGCCCGCGGGCCCTGCGCCTTACACCCCGCCCAGACACGAGCCTTTCCGGCCCGTCGTCTTCCTCCTCCGCACCTGCCCCCGGGATTCGGGGCCCAGGAAGGGGCGGGGGTCAGGCCGCCGCCCTCGCGGCGGGTGGGGGTGAAGGAGTGAAAGAAGGTGAGACGAAGAGGGAAGGGTGGGACCGGAGCCCCAGGAGAGCCTGTCTGAGAGGCAAGCCTCCTCCAGGGGAGAGGTGTAAAGATGCCCCACGTGCCAGGGGCCCAGACCCCAGCACCCTAGCCTAATCCCGCGCAAAGTTGGCGATAGGTAAAGCTGGAGAATGAATAAACGGACCCTCTGCGTAGCACAGCCCACCTGACTTGGGGAAACTCCTGGCCACAAATGCTACTTATAGGACTGCCACTTGCTCCGTGCCTCAGGACACTGAGGGCAGAGGTGAATGGATATTTGCCCTCAGGGAGCCCATGGTCTAGTGGGGCTAGCGGACACAGAAAGAAGTGGGAGCAGAGCATGCTGCTCTGTCAGTATTGTAAGCTCAGAGGTCTGGCTGGGGAAACCAGTCTGGTGGACCGAGTGTGTGTGTAGCTCCTCGTGGCTCCCACCCCAGATGTTATCAGGCACTTGCTCTGTGCAGGTCCTGGGAGACACAGAAGGACCAGATCGGGTCCTCACTGCCTTGTGGTCAGTCTGCCCCCACCTGCCACACTCCACCTCAGTAACATGATCACTGACCACCCACTCTGCCCCACCTTTTCCAGGGTGCTGGGGAAGCAGCAGTAAACAAGACCCATCTTTTTGGAACTCCAGGGCAAGGAGGGAGATTGTGACAGTTTTTCCACCCTTTGCTGGGCTTCCAGGCTTAAAAAGTCATCTGCTTCACCTTTCTACCATATTTTACATGTGGGAAGCTGAGGCTCAAACCAGGGATTAGCATCAGTCACACAGCAAGATTGTGATTGACTCGGGCCTAAGACACAGGATGACCGGCACAGTCTATAGGAAGCCCAGAGGAACTTTCAGCTGGGTGCTACACCTGGCACCCCGTGCCCACCAAGTGCTCTGGCGAGGTGCAGCCCAGAAATGGCATGGCAGGCTGGGTCCTCATTGCCTGGGGAGCCTGTCTTATCCCCTGTCCCTTATCGAGCCCATGGGCTAGGCCTTCCTCCCAGCCTCTGGGGGCATCTGCCGATTCTGTTCTGCCTCGTCATCCAACCAGCCAGGGAGGAGGGGTGGGGAGGGCCGAAACAGGCCTTCTTCCCTAGGGCTGTAGCCAGTTAAGGCCTCAGGCCTGCTGATGGCACTGCCTGGCCGGAGAGTGTGGGTACCTTTGGACAAGCTTTGTCAGGCCATGGGCAAGGCACAGGGTGGTATGGCCAGACTGGGGACTGGTACCTCCACTAGAGAACCCTTACGACAACCTGGCTCTGCCCCTCCCACCTGCATGGCTTTTTTTTGAGACAGAGTCTCACTGTGTCACCCAGGCTGGAGTGCAGGGCTCACTGCAACCTCCGCCTCCTGGGTTCAAGTGACTCTCCTCCCTCAGCCTCCCAAGTAGCTGGGACTACAGGTGCATGCCACCACACCCAGCTAATTTTTGTATTTATAGCACAGATGGGTTTCACCATGTTGGCCTGGCTGGTCTTGAACTCCTGACCTCAAGTGATCCGCCTGCCTCTGGCCTCCCTAATTGCTGGGATTATAGGCATGAGCCACCGCGCCTGGCCGACCTGCATGACTTTAAACATGTCTCTTCTTTCTCAACTTCAGTACCCCTTTTTGTGGAACGGTTGGGGGTGGGACATAAAGACTAAAGGAAACCCTGATTGTCACTGAGTCCTGAGCCCAGGCGCCTGGACGGGCTGCATCAGAACCACCTCATGAACTGGCTTTTCATGAGCTTGAGGCTGGGGCCCCTGACGGCTTCTCAAGTGATCTGAGGCCCCAGGTGGGGTTTGGGAACCCTTGGTGTGTGTATACAGTTGGCACCTAATAGATGCCAGCCATGTTTGGGGTGGGAAAGGAGCTTGGGTTGTGGCCATAGGGAGCTGGGTACGAATCCTGTACCCAGGATTGGTCTCTGGGCTTGGTCATCTTGGGTATACTCTGGGCTTGGTCATCTTGGGTGAATTGATTCCTCACTTCAGAATCTCAGTTTTCATATAAAATTGGGCCTGCTCTGGCAGAGTTGCTGTGAGGATGGAGTGGGACAACGCTGGGGCTTGAGACCTCCCTCAGTACCCCTTCTCTTCCCAGGCACTCAGAGGCATGGGGAGGGGGCCCAGGGACACTGAAAGGGGACAGGGAGGGTGGGGAAGAGCTCCACTGACTGGGCAGCCCAGGACAGGATATTTGCATGTGACTCTTTGCTGCTGCCTTGATGTGGCTGGGAGGGGGGAGGAGGAAGTAACTGAGGGTGGGAGGCTGGCGGATGGAGGGTTGGGTGAGGGACCTGTGGGTGTGGGGGAGGAGTTCCCCTTCTGGGAAGGCCTTGCCCTGGGTTGAGGGGTGGGTGTCTGTTGCTCACTCACAGTGAAGCAATGACTGCAGGGCATGTTCGCAGGAGGCCTCTAGCAAGTTTCTCAATGGGCCCCTGCAGTACTTCCTTCTCCAGGCAGCTTAGGTCGGGGAGTCATCTAGGGACCTAGCCTTGCCCCCTCCCTAGAAGGCAACTTCTGCCCTTGTACCACCTGCCCTCACCCAGGCCAGATGGATACAGGACTAGAAAGCCAGAGGGGAAACTGAGGCCCAGCATGAGAAAGTGGTTGTCTAAGGTTGCCATGGCGTTGTTGGAGTTGGGGTTCACCTCTTGACTCAGCCCTACTTGATGTGGACAGTGTCTCCCATTCACTACGTAACACACATGGAGAAGCTGAGGTTCACAGATAGCGAGTGATGGGCCACAGTGTGAATCAGAGATTCAGACCCAGCTCTGGGAGGCTCAGGCCCCTTCCACCCTCCTCAACCTGGTGGCCCACAGGCCACACACATTTGGCTAGCTCCCTGACACATTTTATTTGGCTGCAGTGAGTTTTTTTTTTTTTTTAAACAAAATGGGGGCCAATATTTTATGTTAGAGTCTGCAATTCCGGCTGCTTTTGAAAAAATCAGAAGAGCTGGCCACATTGAGCCAGAAACCCTCCTAGCAGCAATCAAGCAATCAGCTGGCGTTCTCCTGCAGCTGGCCCTGTCAGAGAGGCCTTCGCTGTTCCTGGTCATCTCACATCTGGCCCACGTTTCCCACACCTGTTGGGCTCTGCAGGCAATCGAACTGCTGCTGTGACCTCAGCTGCTGCAGATGGGGTGTCTGCGAGGTCAAGCAAGACAGGCAGGGGACCGGGGAAGCCCCAGTGTGCAGGGGACGGGGAGTCCTGGGTGCCAGCCCCCTTGCCCCTGCCTCATTTGAGCGTCTGATATCTCTGATGTGGGGCCTGGTGATAGAGGCCTGGGAGCCTCCTTGTCCCCATGCTGCCCTGTGCGTCTCTCAGGCCTGCCCCACTGGCCTAGAATCTCTCCCTCCCGGGCCTTCTGCACTTCTCAGCACTGTGACGTCCTTCTCCCCTTTCTTCACCGGGGGAACTCCTACCTGGCGGGAAGCAACTGGGGCTGGACCCATTGTTGGAGCTACTTGGAACACTGTCCTCCCGCAGCGACCTCACTGCCTCTCTTGGCTCTCCCAGTGCAGGAGCCTGAAGCAGGAGAAGCACGTGTGTCCTGGAACGCAGCAAGGGCGTGCTGGAGCGTGCAGAGGGAAGGCCTGAGGTGCTGTTCTGCCTCAGCTCTGCCTTGGCTGGGCCCTAGAGGCCGTGGACCGCACTGAGGACCCAGAGGCAGTTCTGAGGCAGTGGGACTCGAGACCCAGTGTCCTATTGCTCCCACAGGTGGCGGTGGAAATCGCAAAGGCAAAAGCAAGAAATGGCGGCAGATGCTCCAGTTCCCTCACATCAGCCAGTGCGAAGAGCTGCGGCTCAGCCTCGGTGAGGCCTGGGCAGAGACTGGGGGTGCTGAGGCGAGGGGCCCTGCTGGGGCCGGGGGAGCCTCCCCTGAGACCTTGCCCCGGAGCAGAGGGGCAGACTTGGGGGCTCCAGTGAGCAGGAGGATGAGGACTGCACCATTCAGCCCAGTTTCAGTTCCTGGGCTTGGGACGGGTGGAGAGCAGACAGCAAACAGGGTCACACCGAGGGTGGTTGAAGCGGGTGTCGGGAATAGGGCAGGGGCAGATTGGGGCAGTTGATTCCACTTTGAAAAGGAGAGCCAGCTAGGGTGAGCAGGGCCCACAGGACAGAGGGAGCAGCAGCTGGGCCAGCCCACAGACTGACTGCCTTGGGACCCCCAGGCTGGGGCGTAGCCTCCCAGGCCCAGCCCTGAGGGGTGCCCAGCAAATCCTTGACCAGAAGCCCTCAGCCTGGGCAGTGTGACAGGGTTACTCCTGGGAGGGGACAGAAGGGCCCAGGACCCCAGTTCCTGCCAATCTTGGCCAAGGCCCCAGGTCTGAGCAGCACCCAAGGTTGCTGAGGCCCCCGGTGGCCTGCACGTGCGCAGAGCACACCCGGGCTGCTTCCACCTCCTGGGAAGGAGGCCCAGCTGAGAGCCTGCCGGAAGCCACAGCTTCCTCTCGCACTTTCGCCAGGCAGGCAGCAGGTGTGGGCCTGGCCCCGGCTGGGCTGGGCCGGAACCTCACGGACCGCACCCAACCCCAGTACCGTGACATACGCAAGTCGTGTAAATCAGGAGACAATGCAGGGAGGTGGATGGAGGCCTGGGCTCTGGAGCCAGACTCCCGGCTGTGTGACACTGAGCTAGTCAGTTAGCCTCTCTGGGCCTCACAGCCCCAAAACAGCTGTGCCCACCTGAGGGTTGTGGTGAGGGTTCTGAAGAAGATTGTGGCTACCACACTGCAGAGCTGGAAGCTGTTGTGGGGGCCCAGGGCCTGGTGGTGTGGGCACATGCCCCACCCATGTGCTCTCGGGCTGTGGACCCAGCAGCTTCCATCACTGCCAACAGAGCGTGACTATCACAGCCTGTGCGAGCGGCAGCCCATTGGGCGCCTGCTGTTCCGAGAGTTCTGTGCCACGAGGCCGGAGCTGAGCCGCTGCGTCGCCTTCCTGGATGGGGTGGTGAGTGCAGCCCAGCCCTGCCCAGCCCCGCGGGTGGCCGAGGTCCTGGCCCCATGTGCCCCTCCTCCCCACACCTGCTGCTTGCCCTGCCCAGACCTCCAGCTTCTTTGCTTTCCACCCTGCAGGCCGAGTATGAAGTGACCCCGGATGACAAGCGGAAGGCATGTGGGCGGCAGCTAACGCAGAATTTTCTGAGCCACACGGTGAGTGAGCAGCGATGGAGAGATGATGGGAGCCACCAGAGCCCCGTGTCAGGCACAGGAGTGACCACAGTGTCAGGCTTCTGAGGGTGGTCTCTTCATACAGACACATGTAACACACAGCCTGGACAGAGAGTGCCCTGGAGCTGCTCCAGGCAGCACGGCGGGCATGCAGCCCAGGGTATGGGCTGGGCTTGGGCCAGGCGGCCTCCCAGTGGCTCTGCTGCGCTCTGCCTCATGGGTGGGCAGCAGGAAGGACTTCAGCAACCAGGCTGGCTGGCACACCCTGGCCTGCAGCCTCTCATGGCACCAGCCCGAGTTGCCTGACCCCTCTCCCCTGGAAGTGGGCAGCCATCCAAGGGAGCCCCTGCACTGACCTGTCTGGGGCTTGTTCCCAGGGTCCTGACCTCATCCCTGAGGTCCCCCGGCAGCTGGTGACGAACTGCACCCAGCGGCTGGAGCAGGGTCCCTGCAAAGACCTTTTCCAGGAACTCACCCGGTAAGCCTGTCCCTGCCCACAAGCCTGGAATTATGCCCAGCGGAGGGGGCTTCTGGGGGCCAGGAAGACTGTGAACAGCTCGGTGGCTGGTGAGGGAGCTCAGCTGCCCAGCCCTGGCCTTGCCCCTGCTGTGTGACCTGAGCAGGCTGCCTCCCCTCTCAGTAGCACCCACAGCTTCAGCACAGGCTGTGTGTCTCCCCGCTCAGGGGTTAGCAGGAGGACTGGCCGACGACGATACCTGTGGGCTAAGCCTGTACAGAACGGGAGGCCTGGCCCAGCAAGCCAAGAGCCTGAGGTGTCAGGGGCTGGCGGGTGAGCTGGGCCTGCCTTTCCTCAACAGGCTGACCCACGAGTACCTGAGCGTGGCCCCTTTTGCCGACTACCTCGACAGCATCTACTTCAACCGTTTCCTGCAGTGGAAGTGGCTGGAAAGGTGAGCTCCCTGAAGGCTGGGCCGGGACAGGCCAGGTCGCCGGGGTTCTTCATAGGCCTTGGGCTCTCCTGCTCAGCCAGCGTTTGCTTCCCCACCCCTTGCCACAGGCAGCCAGTGACCAAAAACACCTTCAGGCAATACCGAGTCCTGGGCAAAGGTGGCTTTGGGGAGGTGAGTGGCCAGGCCAGAGCCCCTGGGAGAGTGAATAGGGTGGGTGTGTTGGGACCTGGACCACCCCCTGGATGCCCAGCAATGGCACAGCTGGCCCCCATTCGCCCCTGTCTGTCTGGCCACAGGTGTGCGCCTGCCAGGTGCGGGCCACAGGTAAGATGTATGCCTGCAAGAAGCTAGAGAAAAAGCGGATCAAGAAGCGGAAAGGGGAGGCCATGGCGCTGAACGAGAAGCAGATCCTGGAGAAAGTGAACAGTAGGTTTGTAGTAAGTACAGAAGGAGACTCTCCCTTCCCCTTGGCCACACTGGCGCACCGACCGTCCCCACCCCCCAGGCCCCACCCTCCCATGTGGGATGCCAGGAAGGGCGGGTTTGGGGTGTTGACACCAGGCTTGGGGAGCAGGCTGGGCCCAAGGAGTGGCACCGAGAAGGCTTTTTTGGGCAGCCCTGCCGCCAAGCGCCCCGCAGCTCCTGCCTGAGGGCTCGGGTCCCCTCGGCCACAGGTGAGCTTGGCCTACGCCTATGAGACCAAGGACGCGCTGTGCCTGGTGCTGACACTGATGAACGGGGGCGACCTCAAGTTCCACATCTACCACATGGGCCAGGCTGGCTTCCCCGAAGCGCGGGCCGTCTTCTACGCCGCCGAGATCTGCTGTGGCCTGGAGGACCTGCACCGGGAGCGCATCGTGTACAGGTGGGGAGGGCTCGGCCACCCCAGGGGCTTAGTCCTTCCCTGCCAGCGACTGCAGCTGGGCCTGGACGGGGGTGGCCAAGGCTGCCGATCAGGCCAGACTACAGAAGGACATTGGTTTGGGGGCTGTGGCACCGGCTTAACTCACACGCCAGGCCAACCTGAGTAGCCCAGACCTAGGCTTTGGGCTCTGCTGGACCCACGGGGTATCCTGACTTTGTCACCCCTCCACCCCCCACCGTGTGACCTTGGGCCAGGAGCTCCCTGCTCCCAACACTGCTTCCTTTTCTAGGAAGCAGAGACTATAATTCCTACTTCCCAGGTTGTTAGAAGTAGGCCCAACTTCCTACTGGAGGGGCCCAGTGAGCTAAGTACAGAGTGCCTGGCACATGGGGCTGGGTAAGAGAGAACCCTGGCTCTGATTGTTGCCGACTTCCTGTGAACCTCACAACAGCCTAGTCAGGGGACGGATGAGTAGTCCCATTTGATAGAGAGGAAAGGCAGAGTCAGTCACCAAGGGGTGGAGACTCCTTGGTCTCCACTGGGGAGGCCCCTCCGGGGTGGAGCTGTCTTCCACTCATCTAGAGAGTCCTGGGAGTCCTGGCTCTAGATCCTTCCTCTGCTCCCTTGAGTCCGGGCTGTTGCCAGGGAGAGCAGGGCTGTCTGTCGCCCTGGCAGCAAATGAGTCTCGCACCTTGCTCCACACCTGGCCCCCGGAGGCGAGTGAGCTGGGGGGGCTGGCCCCTTCTGACTCCCTGGCAAACTGAGCAGCATCTGACCCTGCTCTTCTCTCTGCACAGGGACCTGAAGCCCGAGAACATCTTGCTGGATGACCACGGTGTGTAAGGGTGCCTGGGGTGGGTCAGGGTGGGGTGAGATGCAGAGGCCTGGCCTGTTAACGGGTCCACCTGTTTCTCCACCCACACTCAGGCCACATCCGCATCTCTGACCTGGGACTAGCTGTGCATGTGCCCGAGGGCCAGACCATCAAAGGGCGTGTGGGCACCGTGGGTTACATGGGTGAGTCTTCTCTGCCCGGCCCACTAGCCTCCTGGGTTCCCTCACTATCCACCCACCCAGCCACACCCACTTCTGTCTGGGAGTCTTCTCTCAAAAGGGGCCTCAGTAGAAAGGGCCCATGCCGATGCTCCTCTTCTAGAGGTTAGGAGACCAAGACTCAGCCGGGGCCGCACACAGTTGTGAAGCCATGTCGTTCATTTGCTGAATACTTATTAAACCCTGCTATGGCTGAGCCTGCAGGTGGCTACCGGGGGATGGAGGAGAGAGACCCAAACCTGTTTCCGTGGCCCCAGTCCCTGCCCTCCCTGTGCCCATCTGTGAGGGAGGCCAGTGGAGGGGCCAACATGAGGCCCCACATTCCACCTGGAGACCGAGAGACGCAGGAGGCAGAGTCCTGGCTCTGCAGGCTCCGCCTCTTGCCGGTTGCGTGGCCTTGAACCAGACACTCCGCTGCTCCCGGCCTCACTCTGCTCCACTGGAAAACACTCATCATACCTGCCTCCCAGGGCTGCCTGGAAGATGAAAAGGGAGAGTTCAGGGAAAACTCCCCACAGGGCTGCCCTGGCAGGTAGGAGGTATTCAGAAAATAGGAGTTTCCTTCTTCTCGCTGATATTAAATCCAGAAGTTGCAAAATGGTAGCCACATGGGCCCAATTTGGCCTACATTTGTGTTTAAGTCAAACTGTTTTTAGTAAGCCAGATGGTTTCACATACAAAATACAGATTTCTGACTTCTTGTGTAAAATCTGAAGACCCGGGGACCCTGGGCGCGGCCTCCTGCAGGGCCGTATTCACCCCGCTTGATGGGGCCTGTGCTCTCCTACTGGCCAAGGTCCCCCCTGGCCAGCGGGTGTGAGTGTATCCCAGACCTAACGTGCACTGGCGTTCCTGGGGCCTGAGGGTCCACTGCCCGCCTCCTGCCCAGCCCTAACTCCCATGCCGCCCGCCCAGCTCCGGAGGTGGTGAAGAATGAACGGTACACGTTCAGCCCTGACTGGTGGGCGCTCGGCTGCCTCCTGTACGAGATGATCGCAGGCCAGTCGCCCTTCCAGCAGAGGAAGAAGAAGATCAAGCGGGAGGAGGTGGAGCGGCTGGTGAAGGAGGTCCCCGAGGAGTATTCCGAGCGCTTTTCCCCGCAGGCCCGCTCACTTTGCTCACAGGTACGGCAGCTCACAGAAGCCTGGCCAGCCAGGGCTGGGGTGGATGCACCTTTCCCTCCCTCCCACCCACTCACCTGCCTGGCCTGCCTGGCCGACTCACCCCTGCCACAGCTCCTCTGCAAGGACCCTGCCGAACGCCTGGGGTGTCGTGGGGGCAGTGCCCGCGAGGTGAAGGAGCACCCCCTCTTTAAGAAGCTGAACTTCAAGCGGCTGGGAGCTGGCATGCTGGAGCCGCCGTTCAAGCCTGACGTGAGTGCAGCCCACTCCTGCTGAGGGCGGGGCCCAGCCAGGGCTGGGGCTCAGGGGCTCTTGTAGTATCAGCCAGGATGCTTCCAGTGCAAGTGGCAGAAAAAACAATCTAGTGGCTTAGCCACAGAAATAAAGATAATTCACAAAAAGGAAAAGCCCCAGGATGGGTCTGGCTTGTGGCATGCCTGGATGGGGCTTGGAGCCTCTGACAATGTCCTAGGAACTCTCTCTCCTTCCCCTCACTGTACCGTTGAGTGTGTAGTCTTCATATTGGGGTAGCTCTCCCCATGGTGCGGCAGCAGTGGGCCCCAGCAGCTCAGCCACCACAGTAGACAGAGAGCTTCTCTTCTCTTTTCTCTTCTCCTCTCCTCTCCTTCCTTCCTTCGTTCTTTTTTCCCTTCTTTTTTCCTTTCTTTCCTTTCTTCCTTTTCTTTTCTTTTTGGAGACAGGGTCTTGCTCTGTCCCCGAGGCTGGAGTGCAGTGGTGAGATCTTGGCTCCCTGCAACCTCTGCCTCCCAGGTTCAAGCGATTCTCCTGCCTCAGCCTCCTGAGTAGCTGGGATTACAGGCGCCCACCACCATGCCCGGCTAATTTTTGTATTTTTAGTAGAGATGAGGTTTCACCATGTTGGCCAGGCTGGTCTTGAAATCCTGACCTCAGGTGATCCTCTTGCCTCGGCCTCCCAAAGTGCTGGGATTACAGGAGTGAGCCATCGCGCCTGCCCTTGCCCAATAATTTCAAAAGAAATCCTCATGGGGGAAAAGAAGTCCCAAAGCTGATGCCCATTGCCTCTCATTGCTCAGAGGCCCCTCACTGGCCACACCCAGATCATACACCCACCCGAACCTGCACCAATGGGGGAGCTCAGTTCCCCAGAGGAAAACTACAATGCAATTGCCAGCAGTGGGAGGGGCTGTTGGGCTGGCCATCCTTCTGTGGGTGGTCACTTTTCCTTATGGAGTCTCACCTGTTAACTGAGCATCTCAGTGGGCCAGGCACCCAGCAGGCAAGAGTATCCTCTAGTTGTCAGAGTCCGGGTGGCAGAAAACCAACCTAAACTCACTTAAGCTCACCGTGGAGTGTATTGGTTCATTTGGCCAGAAAGTCCCAAAGTAGGGCCAGCTCCAGGGTTTCCTGCTGTGTGCCACGATTCTCCAGCTCTTGCCTGGCCTTCAACCTGTTGACTCTTTCCCTCCCCCTGAATTAGGCTTCTCTGTGTGACAGTCATAGGGAAGGTTCTGATTGGCTAAGATGAGGTCATGTGCTTTCCCCTTCCCATGTCTATGAGGACTGGTCCTGTAATTAACGGTTCACCAGGAACACTGGAGAGGCCCGAAGGATGGGCAGGGCAGGCCAGGTTGATAGCTGTCAATGACACACACGTTTATTGATTCAGCAAATAGCTGAGTGCCCATTTATGCCAGACCCTGGAGATAATGAGGCCCACTGGAGCCAGTCCTGCCCTTACATTCTAGTGGGAGACACACCCAAACAAACCCGTAAGCCAGAAGGAATTCCAGGTAATGTTAAGTGTGACAAAGAAAACTAAAGCAAGCGGCTGGGTGCGGTGGCTCACGCTGTAATCCCAGCACTTTGGGAGGCTGAGGCAGGCGGATCACCTGAGGTTGGGAGTTCGAAGACCAGCCTGACCAACATGGAGAAACCCCATCTCTACTAAAAATACAAAATTAGCTGGGCATGGTGGCGCATGCCTGTAATCCCAGCTACTCGGCAGACTGAGGCAGGAGAATCGCTTGAACCCAAGAGGAGGAGGTTGCGGTGAGTTGAGATCGCGCATTGCACTCCAGCCTGGGCAACAAGAGTGAAACTTCATCTCAAAAAAAAAAGAAAACTAAAGCAAGCTACGAAGATGGCAGAGAATGATGGTGGGGGGAGCGCTTTTAGACACCGTGGTCTCTGGGGAGGTGATGCTGGTGCAGAAATGTAAAATATGTGAAGCGGAGAGCCATGCCAAGGTTTGGGGTGTGAGCATTCCAGGCAGAAGAAACAGCCGGGTATTGCAGTCCTGAGGCAGGGGCCAGCCCTGTGAGGTGGAGCAGCCGCGAGGACACCTGTGTGGCTGAGTGAGCCCGTGCAGGCAAAGAGGAGTGCCGGCAGGTTCTCAGCAAGATGGGACCGCTGGGGGACCCTGGGCAGGAATGTGAGGTGTGGGGAGTGGGCCATAGTGGGTGTGAGTGGAAGTGGGGAGGCCAGTGAGGGGGCTACTGCCCTGAGTGACTGCCTCACATGGGCCTCACTGGAACCGCTGGCCAGGCTGGTCTCGAACTCCTGACCTCAAGTAATCTGCTCGCCTTGGCCTCCATACCTCTTGGTCTATACCTAGAAGTAGAATTACCAGGTCATATGGTAACTATGTTTAACCTTTTGGGGAACTGCCAGACTGTTTTCCAAAGCAAAGGTGGGCCCTGTCAGAGGCACTTACTTGAACTAAGAGAGCCTGACTTTCATCAGCTCGCCCCTGAGGCTGGCACTGCCACTCAGTCTGTTCTGTTTCCTGTGTACATCATCTCATTTAACCTTGAAATAACTACACTGCCTCTGGATCTTCCATTCAAAGTCGGAGATAAAATCAGTGCCCTGGAGTTTAACTTTGTGGAAGCAGTAGATGAAAAAGCAAGCTTGATGATATTTTTTTAACAGCTCTATTGAGTTTAATTTATATGATTTATATACCATACAATTCACCCATTTAAAGTGTACAATTCGGCTGGGCGTGGTGGCTCATGCCTGTAATCCCAGCACTTTGGGAGGCCAAGGTGAGTGGATCACCTGAGGTCAGGAGTTCAAGACCAGCCTGGCCAACAAGGTGAAACCCCCGTCTCTACTAAAAATACAAAAATTAGCTGGACGTGGTGGCGCATGCCGGTAATCTCACCTACTTGGGAGGCTGAGGCAGGAGAATCGCTTGAACCTAGGAGGCGGAGGTTGCAGTGAGCTGAGATCACACCATTGCACTCCAGGCTGGGCAACAAGAGCAAAACTCCCATCTCAAAAAAAAAAAAAAAAAGTGCAATTCATTGGCTTTTTAATTATGCAGTCAGCACCACGATAAATTCTTGAGTGTGTTCATTACCTGCCCCACTCTGCAAAAAAAAAAAAAACCCATACCCTTAGCAGCCATTCCCCATGCTTCCCTCCCGCTGCTCCTAGCAATCACCAGTCTACTCTGTGTCTCTCTCTGTTTGCCTACTCTGGACATGTCATAGCTATGGCATCACATAGTATGTGATCCTCTGTGCCTGGCTTCTTTCACTTAGCATAGTATCTTCAAGGTTCATCCATGTTGTAGCATAGATCAGTGCTTCATACCTTTTTAAGGCTGAATAATATTCCATTGCATGGATAGACCACATTTTCCTTACCTGTTCGTCAGTTGGTAGACATTAAGATTGTTCCCACTTTTTGGCTGTTATTGCTGCTGTGAACATTCCTGTACAAGTTTTTGTGTGTGCAGATGCCGCCATTTCTCTTGGTCTATACCTAGGAGTAGAATTACTAGGTCATATGGTAATGATGTTTAAGCTTTTGGGGAACTGCCAGACTGTTTTCCAAAGCAGCTGTACCATTTTACATGACAATGATTTTAATTGACATCTTAATTGAAGGATTTAGAAAACAATGTTAAGATAAAAAAAGAAGGTGGCCGCCTGGAGCTGAGGTGGGCTCCCAGTGTGGGTCTGGGGAGGTGGAGCAGTGGGAGACCGTGCCAGTCCTCTGATTGGCTGGGAGAGAAGACGGCAAGTCCCAGGTCATCGCAGGGCGGGGAGCCAGGGAGTCACCAGCTCCAGGCTCTGCGTGGTGGTGCCCAGCGGAGGGGCCGGCTGAGATTCAGCCTGTACTCCCCGCCCCAACTGCATACCCAGGAAGCTGTGGGCAGGCGAAGGAGGTGCCTGGCATTGGCCTTTACACAGCCTCACAGTCATTGAGCAGTGAGGAATAACGTACGCAGTTCACAGAGGGGAAAACCAGGCTTCGGAGAGAAGGGCCTGCCCCACTTAGGAAGTGCGTGGGGCACCTGGTTTCTCCAAATCAGAGAGCTGCTGGTGTCAGGCAGCACTAGGCCAAGACCCGAGGCAGAATCAGGGCTGAGCTGCCTTCGCGTGTGCGTGTGTGTGTTTCCTATCTGACCGTTGCCTCTGTCCCACCAGCCCCAGGCCATTTACTGCAAGGATGTTCTGGACATTGAACAGTTCTCTACGGTCAAGGGCGTGGAGCTGGAGCCTACCGACCAGGACTTCTACCAGAAGTTTGCCACAGGCAGTGTGCCCATCCCCTGGCAGAACGAGGTGGGGGCCTGCCCTGCTGGTGGGGTGGGCTCCAGGAGGCTGCCCTGGGGACAGCTGTCACAGCCGCCTGCTCCTCAGCAGATGGTGGAGACCGAGTGCTTCCAAGAGCTGAATGTCTTTGGGCTGGATGGCTCAGTTCCCCCAGACCTGGACTGGAAGGGCCAGCCACCTGCACCTCCTAAAAAGGGACTGCTGCAGAGACTCTTCAGTCGCCAAGTAAGCCCCAGCAGCGGCCTACCTGGGCCCCTAACCTGGCTCCAGGGGACGGTGGGTGGGAGGCAGAGCCGGTGCCCGCATGCGCTGGGAGTGGGCGTCCTCCAGTCCTGTTGTGGTGCCCAGGGTCTCTGGCCTCATTCCCGCCTGTCCCCCACCCCTGGCTGGGCTCATGGCCTCTTTTCTCTTTCCAGAGGTGAGCAGTGTGGGCTCCCCGTGGGTTGGCCTTGCTGCCTGGCCTCGGGGAGCCACGGGCAGCCCTTCCATGGCAAAGGCAAGATGTGGGAGAAAGAAGTCTGGTGCCCGCCCCACTCCCCCTGCCCACTGCTTTGATCCCCTGCACCCTGGCCCCTTCGAGCTGCCAGCTTTGCTTCGCTTGTCTCCCCGTGCCCTGTCTCTGCCAGCCCCAGGGGAGAGGGCTGGGCAGAGGCCTTGCCCTGGCAGACCGTGGGATCTACCCAGCCCCCTTACTTCAGTCTGTTGCCGGCAGCCTCTGCAATGACGCCCACCCACGTGTGGCCTGAGCTGCTGCTCCAGGCTCCTTGTGGAGAGGCCCCTCCCCAGAGTGCACCCCTCAGGCAGCTCCTGGCCTGCCCTGGCAGGGTCGGCCCCATGTGACGTCCCTCGTGGTTAATGGCACCTGCTCTGCCTCTCTCCCTCCCTCCGTGTCTTCCCCGTCCCTCCAGGATTGCTGTGGAAACTGCAGCGACAGCGAGGAAGAGCTCCCCACCCGCCTCTAGCCCCCAGCCCGAGGCCCCCACCAGCAGTTGGCGGTAGCAGCTACTCCGAGCGCCGTTTACAGTTTTGCACAGTGATCTTCCCCATTGTCCACTCAAGTCGTGGCCTGGGGAACACAGACGGAGCTGTCCCCAGTGTCCTCCGTCCCTCAGCCCCTGGCCTGGCTGAGTTTGGCAGGGCCTGGGCCATCCCTGGGACAAAGGTGCGTCCCTTCAGCTCTTCTCCGTGGAGCTCGGGGCTTTCTGTATTTATGTATTTGTACGAATGTATATAGCGACCAGAGCATTCTTAATTCCCGCCGCAGACCTGGCGCCCCCGCCTTGGCTCCTGGGGGCAGCCAGCCCTGGCTGGGAGAGCGGGAGCTGGCAGAGGAGCCACTGCCAAACTCAAGGCTCCTCTGGCCCAGCTTGGATGGCTGAGGGTGGTCACACCCCTGAGCCTTCAGCACTGTGCTGGCCACCCCGGCCTCTGAGTAAGACTCGTGCCTCCCCCTGCTGCCCTGGGCTCAGGCTGCTACCCTCTGGGGCCCAAAGCTGTCCCTTCTCAGTGCTTGTCAGCGCTGGGTCTGGGGCCTCTGTATGCCCTAGGCCTGTGCCAAAGTGGCCAGAGATTGGGCTGCCTGTGATACCCATCAGCCCACTGCCCCGGCCGGCCCAGATAGGTCTGCCTCTGCCTTCCAGCTCCCACAGCCTGGTCCCTGATACTGGGCTCTGTCCTGCAGACACCTCTTTCAGAAACGCCCAAGCCCAGCCCCTAGGAGGGGGTGGGGCATCCCTGGTCAACCCTCAAACATTCCGGACTCCCCTCATAACAATAGACACATGTGCCCAGCAATAATCCGCCCCTTCCTGTGTGCGCCTGTGGGGTGCGTGCGCGCGCGTGTGTACCTGTGTGGGTGAAGGGGATAGGGCGAGGCTGTGCCTGTGCCCCAGGTCCCAGCCCTGGCCCTTCCCAGACTGTGATGGCCATCCTGGTCCCAGTGTTAGGGTAGCATGGGATTACAGGGCCCTGTTTTTTCCATATTTAAAGCCAATTTTTATTACTCGTTTTGTCCAACGTAAGCTGCCACATGTCTCTGTGTGAATAGTCCGAGCACAAACCTGGCTAGCCGCCCCTGCCTGCCTCTTTCTTGCTTCCGGTGCTCCAGGGGTCTTCCTGCTCCCCTGGCCCAGCTGGAAGCGGGAAGGGATTGGAGGTGGGCCTGGAGGGAAGCAGGGTGTGCCCTTCCGAGGCCCAGGAGCCCCCAGGGCTGACTCTGAACTAGCCTCTCCAGACAGCCAGGCTTTGGTAGCCTTTGGGCTCACCCAGTGGGTTTCCCAACTTCCTAAATGGGATGGGGCCTAAGGAAAGAAGCCTTGGGTACCCACTGGGATGTGGGTCTGTTTCTGACTGCTGGTAAGGCGGGCCCCGTTGGTGTCCTCCCCTCCAAGGCTAAGGTGGCCTGGCTGCCTAAATGTGGACGTAAGAGTAGGGTGGGAGCTGTGTAAGGAATGTCTGCCCCAGGCCTGCGTTACCTGGACGCCAGCCATGTACGGGCCCCGGGCTGAGGCACGTGCATCATATCCACCCCTCTGTTTTGCCCTTGACACATTATGGGCAAAGACCTAGACAGTGGGTGACGCTGGCAGATAGGCTGTGGCCAGTGTGGGAGAGTTCTCTGAAGACGGTGGTTGAGCCGGCCTCGAAGTGGACATTCACCTGGGAGGAAGGGGGACTGGGAGGCACTCAAGGGGAGCTTCCTGCCTGGGCTCTGGGGCTGAGAGCTTGTTGCCTACCAGTCTGTCCCAGATCTGGCAACCCCATCACTGCTCTATAGACTCCCAGTGTCCCCAGCTCCCTGAGAATGCCCCGTAAGCCCCATCAAGCTTGTTCCTGGCCTCTGGACTGGGCACCCAGTGCTGCAGGAGCCATGTGAGCTTTGTAGCTGACAGTTCCAGGTTCAAGCCCCAGCCTGGCCACTTTTCAAGTTGGCCCTGCACAGGCGCTTCCCTGATATGGAAAGGTAGGTGTAAGACCCATCACCTTTCTGGGCAGCTGTGAGAATCCACCAAAGCAGCCAGCCAGCCCCTTGAGTTCCCAAGCCACCGCAGGACTCCCACCTGCTGGGGAGTGGTGCTGAGTACCAAACTAACCACCTGGCTTAAGCACAGCCAGAAGGTGCCAAGCCAGCAGCCTGGCAGAAGGGGCCTTTTGTGGCCCCACTCATGACATGTGGAGTGCCTGCTGCTTCCCACCAACCTAAGGGAAGTAAGGGGAGTGGGGACCTGCTCAAGGTCTTCCAACTGGTTAAGTGGCCATTGCAGGGTGGGGAGGAAACCAGGTAATGATGGGAAAGCTGGATCCTACCCATGTATCATGAGAAAGGAGCCTGGGGTGGGTTTGCCCCTCTGCCCCAGGCTGTTATGAGGTGGGAGTGGGGGATTTTTAGGTAGGTGTTAGCATGTCATACCAAAGCCCAGCCCTGGGCAGGTATGCAAGAGAGCGCGTGCCAGGTGGATGTGCAGGACCCTGAGGCACTCTGCCTGCACCTGGATCAGGACACCCTGGCCAGCTCCCCCTTGGGCTAGGGAGGCATCCAGGGAACTTCTTGGCTAGGGTTAAACTCACCTTAAAGCTCTTAACACAGTGGGTCCTTGGCAGAGGGAACTCCCAGAATTCATTTCCCAAGAAGCTTCCCTGAGCTGTCCTCCATGCCCAGCTCTATGGTGGGAACTGGGACCCAGATGGAGACGAGGCCCCTGGCAGCTTGGAGCTCAGTCTGGTAGGGAGGCAGACGTGGGAACAGCGGGACCCAGTGTGATCAGCACTGTGGAAGAGAGGATTCTAGAGCTGACAGGGTTGGGGGTGGGGCAGCACCAAACAGGGAGGCCCCTTGACCCTGAAGGTGTCAGAATTGGTGCCCTCCAGGACACAGGGTCAGATGTACCCAAGTAGAGGAGCCAGATGGATGGTCTAGGGCTTTAGTGGTTTAGGATGGCTGAGCATGGGAGGCCAGGGGTGGAAGCAAGGAATGGCTGGAGCTGAAGTCAGTGAGACACAGCCAGCTTTGAAAGCTAGATTAAGGATCACAGGGTTAAGGCCCAGATGGGGCCTCATCTGGAAGGTAGGGGATTCCCTGAAGGGTTTTTACTGGTTGTGTTGGGGTGTTTGCTCCAGCATGTACAAAAGCACCCCCAGTCTCTGTCCATGTGGTTTAGACGGGGCTGGGCTTGCACCCCCTGCACACGCATACTCCACACACATACCTAGAGTGAGAGAGCCAGGTGGGAATGTTGCAAGTGACAGAACTGTCCTCCCGCTAACTTAGAAGGTGTTCCAAGGATATGGAGGAGCTTCGGGGTCTTAGTTGTGGGCTCCATTCTCATCAGGAGACACCCACCAGAACCAAGATGATAGAGCCATTTGGTTTTGCCTCTTTGAGCCCAGTTGCAAACTCAAGGAGTCTGAGTGGCCAGGCTGGATACCTGCCTGCTGTGCACTGTCAGGGAGCAGGGCACTTGGGTTCACAGTTTCACCAGGATGGCACCCGTGGGGCAGTGATTCCCCCATTGAAATCAGGGTGCCTGTATACAAAGAAAAGGGAGCGGGTACTGGGAGGCCATTCCCTTTGCATAAGGAGCACATATCCTCTCCCTTAACACACAGGCACTTAGATTGGTTCACTGATAGAGACTCAGCCCAAATGAGTCCAAAAAGAATCATTCATGGAGTTGTTTGCTTGTATTTTGCTCAAATGATGGGGAAGGAATTGGGGTTCCGTTTTCCTCCAGGGATAGATGGCAGGATATGAGCCTAGGGCTGTTGGGGTTGTCCTCGCTACTTCTTGGGGTGAGCTTGCCTGAGAGTGATGCAAACAGAAGCAGATACGTGCCTGACACCATTGCGGGAACACCTGGAAGCAACTGTGACCAAAGCTAGAATCTACCCTGGGACTTGCCAGTTGCATGAACCAGTCCCCTTTGAGCTCAAAGCTTTTTCTTTTCTTTCTCTTTTTCTTTCTTTTCTTTCTTTCCTTTCTTCTTTCTTTCTCTTTTATTTTTCTTTCTTTCTGTCCTTTCTCTTTCTTCTTTCTCTTTTTTTTTTTGAGACAGGGTCTCACCCCCTCCCTTAGGCTGGAGTGCGGTGGCGTGATCTCGGCTCACTGCAACCTCTGCCTCCCGGATTCAAGCGATTCTCCACAGGCGTGCAGATTTTTTTTTTTTTTTGGTAGAGACGGGGTACAGCTCAAACCTATTTGTTTGGGAGTTCTGTCACTTCAACCCCAAATGTTCCAGCTAATATGGTGGTGGAGGGGTTTTTGGCAAATCATCTTAAGTGCAGTAGAGAAGTTGGACGAAAAACAGCCCAGTTAAGAGGCCGATGGACAGCCAACTTCAGAGTGGCCTCTGCAAGCTTGGACCTCGGGGTAGACAGTGGGGCGCTCTCTAGGGGTCATCTGTTCCCTGCTGGGGTAGGGGGGAGGCATGTCCACGGAGGCCAGGGCTGTGGGTTCGGCACTAGGTCCTCCTCCCCGTGGCTTCCTAGTAGGCATGTGGTGGTGTACGCCTGCTGGGCACCTAGCGAGAGGGGTCGTGAGTTGGGAGGGAGCCACGTTGGGGTGCCTGCCTGCTCGGGGGCCCCTGCCCACTGCGTGTGCGCAGCGCCTGTCAGGATGTGACGGGGACCTGGACATGTGTGTGCTCTCCGAGCTGAGCTGTGTGCGCGTCCGGGTTCTCGACCTCAGCTGCCTGGCTGTGCATCCAGCGTGCACGACCGGTGTGGCCTGGGCTCCAGCCTGGAGTGTGGACCGGGTCGGCCGGCGTGTGCCTCCCCTGTGAGGGTGCCCTGGCGGGTGTGAGCCCGGCGGGCTGGAGAACCGGGTCTCGGCGCCGCAGGTGGGTGACCGTCCTCCCCCTCCTTCCCTCCGGGGGCAGCCTCCTCGCGGCGTGTGGCTGGGGGTGCGGGGCCCTCTGCCGGCTGCCGCGCGCGCGCACGCCGGGCTCAGCACCCGCCGTGTACGCGCCCGTGCGCGCGCCCCGCGCCTCCAGCCCAGCGCTCGGAGCCGCTTTCGCTGCCACTGTCTGCTCCCCCGGGCCGCCGCCGCCTCCCCCCGCAGGCCCGGGGCTCTGTCCGCTGGGCCCGCGCTGCTCGCCCCGAGCCAGGAGAACGAGCTCGAGGAGGATGCCTGGGCCCGTGAGTACCGCGGCGGCTGCGGGCCGGGCGGGCACGGAGCGCGGGCGGAAGATGGTCCCAGGACTGAGCCCTTCCCCGCGGGCGGCTCAGCGCCCTGGCCCCGGGTCGCCGCCCCGGTCCCCCGCCCGGGCCGCGAGCAGCCCCTCCCCCAGTCCACACCGGAGGGAGGGAGAGCGCCAGTGAGCGAGGGAGCCGGAACGGGGCGCGAGCCGCCACCAGTTCGCTTGGAAACGGTTGCCACAGCAACGGGGTTGCGCTCCCCGGCAACACGACTGCGGGGCGGCGACGCCCCCTCCCCCTCCCTCCCCCCTCCCCCGACGCGGGCCCACAGCCCGGGGGTGCAGGGGGAGAGGGGTGCGCGGCGGGGGCATGTCGCCCCTCTGGCCCGGCTGGGTGTGCCTGCCTCCACAGCCCGTCGAGGGTGGGGGTGGGGGCGAACGGCCGTGGGCACGAGCTGGCTCCCACGTGGCTGCAGTCGTCGCAGCAGGGCTCCTGGGGTGGCTGCAAACGTGGGGGCGGCCCAGCCCCTGGGCTTGTCACGGGAGGAGGAGGCATGGAGGCTGGCGCTGGGGTCTTTGCCCATAGACCCCCCACCCACCCACCCACCGCCGCCACCACCTAATCGCGCCGGCCCTGGACATGGCCTGAGCCGAGCTGGGTTCCCCAGGGGCGACGTTTCTTACCAGGGTAGAGGAGCGAAGCTTGCATCCCTCCTCCTCCTCACGGCCGAGGCACGTGCCAAACCGGGCATGGGCCCGCGGTGAGTCTCTGCTCCGTGTTCCTAGCCACCATTCTCCAGGGAGGGGTGGAAGCAGAGTGGGCAGGAGCAGAGGAAAGGATATTGCTGACCCAGGGAAGCTGAAGCCCAGGCCAAATGGGAGCGACCCAGCCCATTGTCTGGATCACAAGTGCCCCTTTCTTGTCTGAGCACAATGCCCCAACTGTACTGAGTAGCATGCAGGTTGGCCGGCAGGGAGGCACGCGCCACATGGAGGTGCCTGGTCCGCCAGGGGAGCTCCTCTGGGAGGAGAATGGCCTCTGACTCAGAGGAAATGACCTCTGGCTCCCCTCCCAACCTCCCCTCAGCGGGCATCATGCTGGAGAGAGAAATGGCCCTCCTGCCAGCTCTCCCAGGCCTGACTCAGCAGATGCCAGCCCCGACCGCGGGCTTCAGATCCAGGATCCCAGCGACCACAACCGTCCTTGGGTTTCCTTTCCCATCCGGGGAGGCATCCTAGAGGTGACTGGCATCTGGGGCATTGGAGGCCTTGGCATAAGATGCCCTTAGATGGGTGGTGCCCTGGAGGTCAGGCCTGAGTCTCCTGCAGGCAGGGGCGCCTGGGGAATTACTCACGGGTGCCTTTCATTCCCTTCCTGCTCTGTGAGACCTGTGTTGAGTGCTCTGCATCCATTATCTCCTAATTTTTTTTTACAACAGTTGCGCAAGGTAAGTTTATTATCCCCATTTTAGAGATGAAGACTCTAAAGGGAGGCTCAGGGAGGTGAGTGACTTGCCCAAGGTCACACTACCAGTAAGTGGCAGAGCTGAGTCTACACTGCAGGCTTCTCTGGGGGCAAAGCTCCTCTCTGCCTGCTAGCTAACTTCTCTTGTAACCCAGGAGAAGAACTGTAGAGCCTTCTTCCTTCACTTTCCTCCAGTGAGGACATTCCCTGTCTTTCGGGTCTTGGTACATTTTTCCTTCTTCCAGCTAAATCAGCCACATTCTTGCTCCCCCAGATGCATTATAGGATGGGGCCAGCTTTCTCCCTCCCTTCTTCACTTCCTCCCTCCCTCCATTTTCTCCGGTGAGACCAAGCAGCAAAGGGCTGCCTCAGTCCCCTGGGAAAACCCCAAGCCCTGGTCCTCGGCTCATGGGCTCCATGGCCTGCTCAGCTTGCAGTCTTGGCTGTGGGAGAGAAAATTTAGCAAAGATGGGTCCATGCACTGCTGCAGCCTGTGGGTGCTCAGTCTAGCTCCAGGCATTGGAAACCCACATGCTTCCAAGGATCAGGGGGGAAATGGAATGAGTGAGGCGGGCCAGGGAGCCGCTCAGCTCCAATCTTTGTCACTGTGTGAAATGTGGACTTGGTATGACCTGACTGTCCAATTTTCAAGATGAACCAGAAATCCAGACCTTTATATAAAATCTCCTGGATTTTTAAATGTTGGCAATTAATCAGAATGTTTTTAAAAATGGATTGTGAACATGGATTGTTTTTAAAACATGTCTGAGAACTGTGTCCAACCTAAGGGTCCTGTGTCTGAGACCTCTGGTCCGTGGGAAAGGGACCGCAGGTTTTGCTGGGCCGCCTCCAGGCTGTGTACACTGTGACACCAGGGGCTGCTTTCTGCATTTGAGCCTCTTGAGGCTGCAGGGTGATCCCTCATCAGAGGGAGTTCTGTTGTCCCCTCGGCACCCTGGTCCTACTGCTGAAGAAACTCCAGCTCAGGTATGGGAGTAGCCAGGATGGGATCACATGGCTCGGTGAGGGCAGAAGCCAGATTTGAGCTCAGGCCTACCCCTCGGCACTCTGCATGTTACCCAGGCTGCCCCCCACAGGGTGTCACCATCACGCCCGTGGGGCCGCCTCCCCTGGGAGGTCAGATCATTATTTCCATGCCAGCTGCGGGGATGAAGGCACAGAGAGCCACAGGCTGAGGTTTCAGAGGAGGAACCTGGTCTCTGAAAACCCTGCCCTGAGGAGGGCCGGAGCTGAGCGCAGTAGACACTGGCCTGAGGGAGGGCTCTCCACCTACAAGCCCACCGAGGCCTCAGTCTCTGTGGTCTTATTTGTAGTTTCCCAAGCCCTGGGTTCCTGGCTTGGTGTCAGGGTTAGGTCATCTACCTGCAAGCAAGGGTGCTTGCCACTCAGTACCCTGGCCTAGGCGGAGGGCGGTTCTGGCCAGCTCCAAGCCTGGCTGACTGGGAGTGGAGACAAGTCCTGTCAAGTCCTCTCTGGCCTCAGTTCCTCTGTGTTGATGTGGGAAGGGTGTAAGGGTGTCACCAGTGGCTCCCTGAAATGCCCTTGCTGCCGGGACCGAGGACTTTGTCATCACCCGGGCTTCACACCACCTGGCTATGGAGACCTGAGCTGGACCCACTCCTTGAGCCTACATCCTTGTCTGTAGAGAGAACAGCAGCCACCTCCTGAGTTTTCCTTAGATAACTAGCATAGAGACCAGTAGTGGGCCTGGCGTATGCAAGGCACACAGGACAGGCTGTCAGTCTGTCCTGCCCCCCAGCCCTCACCCCCTGCTCTGAGTTCCTGTCCCTTCCCTTGAAGACCAGCAGCTCTAGCCTCAAGTCCAGGTGTGACCCAGTGCCCCTGCTGCCCGGGATTTTCCATCCCCACCCCCCAGAGCCCTGGTGTGTGCCTCCGTACAGCCTTTTCCTTTGATTCACGTAGACACATGGGGTCTCCACTTGCTTATGAACTGCCCTGCCAGGCGGGGGCTGGGTGATGGCTCTTCTCTGAGTGACGTTTTGGTGAATGGCTGACATTTCCCAGGAATGAATTGGACACAGAGCCAGCCCTTGAGGTACTCCCCCGGTCCCACAGCTAAAAGACCAACCAGGTAACGAGCCCTCCAGCATCTCCTTCCATAGGTGGTTCTTGAGCCAATTACTGGGTGCCAGCTGGTAAGGCCGATGGTGCTCGGCCCTGGCCACCCCGGAACATCCTGGCATCATTGGGCTTCCCATCCCTGAGGGGTGAGGTGGCTCAGGTGAGCCCCAGAGGCCTTGGCAGGAGCTCATTCGGGAGGCCAGCACCTAGGTCAGTGGTTCTCAAAGTGTGCTCCCTGGCCCTGCAGTACCAGCATCTGCTGGAAATTTGTTTAAAATGCAAACTCGGGCCCCATCCTAGACCTACTGAATCCAGTACTGGGAATGGAGCCCAGCACTGTTTTAACAGCCTCCACGTGGTTCTGTTGCCTGCTTAAATTTGAGAGGCCCAGATCTAAGCCATGTTAAATGCTAGATTGGCTCCTGAGGCAGCGTAGTGTTGTGAGGAGTGACTAGGCTGGGCAGGGGCACAGCACAGTGGCAAGCATGGTGATGGGGGCCAGGGGAGAGACGATGCTGGCCTGGCCAAGGCAGTGGCAGGAGGACCAAAGGAAGTGGACAAATGCCACCCTGCAGAGGATGCGGCGGACGGAAGGAATGGTAGGCTCTTTGCTGAGATAAAGGACCCAGTAGCAGATCTTTGGTGCTTTGGCCTGTAAGGCTGAAGTGTGCACAGGGCAGTGTGGGAGGTGCCCACAGCAATGCAGCCAGGCCCTGGCTCTGTGTGCCCTTGGGTGTCATTTAAGCTCCTTGAGCCAAGTGTTCTCATCTGCCAACTAACAAGAATGCCAGCCTGCTTCGGAGAGTGAGTGTGGAGCCCACCCTCAGGCAGGGAGCACCCTGTAGCCTGCTTCGGAGAGTGAGTGTGGAGCCCACCCTCAGGCAGGGAGCACCCTGTAGCCTGCTTCGGAGAGTGAGTGTGGAGCCCACCCTCAGGCAGGGAGCACCCTGTAGCCTGCTTCGGAGAGTGAGTGTGGAACCCACCCTCAGGCAGGGAGCACCCTGTAGCCTGCTTCGGAGAGTGAGTGTGGAGCCCACCCTCAGGCAGGGAGCACCCTGTAGCCTGCTTCGGAGAGTGAGTGTGGAGCCCACCCTCAGGCAGGGAGCACCCTGTAGCCTGCTTCGGAGAGTGAGTGTGGAGCCCACCCTCAGGCAGGGAGCACCCTGTAGCCTGCTTCGGAGAGTGACTGTGGTGCCCAGCCCTCAGGCAGGGAGCACCCTGTAGCCTGCTTCGGAGAGTGACTGTGGTGCCCAGCCCTCAGGCAGGGAGCACCCTGTAGCCTGCTTCGAAGAGTGAGTGTGGAGCCCACCCTCAGGCAGGGAGCACCCTGGGGACACACACATGTCTGCATCCTCAGCTCAGAAACCACCATCATCAGAGCTAATGTCTGTTGGTACCTCCACACCCTTTGCATGATTAGCTTCATCTTCACCGATGAGGAAACAGAGGCAACTTGGAGGTTAAGAAACTCACCAAGGGTCTCGCTTTCATCCCCCTGCCGTGCTCCCAGTGAGTGTGTGGCCCGAGAAAACATGCAGAGCGATATGGTTCAAAAGCACTACAGATAAATCAAGATGCAACCCTAAAACATGTTCAAATAACCTTCAAGAAAGTAAGAAAAGAGAAACAGGAAACAGAACGTGAGTAATCAAATGGCAGACTTCGGTCCATCTGCAGGGCATCGCTCCGAGCACCTGAATGTGTTGGGTAGGTAGGAGGAGGCACGTATTGGCTACTACCAGTCTGGAGCAGTGTGGGCAGTGGAGGGAGTGGCTGGGAGCAGCAGGCTGCAGGCAGGCTCTGAGTCTGAAAGGCTCCCAGACAAGGGCAAGAGCTCACATAGTAAAGGAGCAGTAAGGGGGCATGGTTTTTTCGGGAGGCTTTGCCAAGTCTGGCCTGGTCAGGTAGAGCATTTTGAAAGGTCTGAATGAACCTCTGATGTTTATGTATTGAGCACCTATGGTCGGTTAGATGAGAGTCTACTGAGCACCTGGGAGGGAGGCTTCAGACAGGATTCCAGTCCCGTGGGCCTGCTGTGGCACTGCCGAGAAGACAGCGTTCAGTGTCAAATCCCTACCCACTCCACCTGGGGGTGGAGCCAGGTTGGGGCCAGGGGGCTAGTTATGTGACCTTAAGCAAGAGCCTTCCTCTCTTTGGCCCAAAGTTGCCTAGTTTATAAAATGCAGCTATGACGGCACCCAGCAGGTCCTGGGCGTGGCCTGCCCTGTATGGCCTAATGCCCCACCTGCTGAGCTGGGCGCCCTCAGGGCACAGAGGGCCCTCTCTTTTGTCTCTTGCTAACCTGGCGCTGCCATTACATCTCCCCTTCATCCTGTAGCTCTTTCTCACACTGCTATTCCACAGCAGAGTCGGGCTGGTGATCAGGCATGCCAGGGCCCTGGTGGGAAGGGATGGGAATGCATTTTGGCTGCTAGCTGGCTTGTCTGCCCAGTGCCCCCATGGCTGCCACTTACATCTGGCACAGAGTTTGGATTCAGACTCAGGCTAAATCCTAGCTCCTCCCCTTCTGAGCTGTGTGACCTGGGGCAAGTCATTCCCCTCTCTGAGCCTATCTCCCTGTCTATCAAATGGGCACAACCACCACAGACAAGGTGGTGTTGAAGAGAGGATTCTGCGTGGTCCTTGAAAGATATTTCTAATTCAGCTAAACCCCATCACCTCCAGCCCCAGAGTTACCTTTTCTGACCCAGAGCTGTTCCTGCCTGGCAGACCGGGGGACCTCTAGTTAGTGCCAGTTTCCTCAGAGCATTCCTGATGGCTCAGGAAAAGAATAACAGATGTAATTAACTCCCAGTGACTGGCAGCATCGTGTTTTTATCTGGGCTGCGTCACCATGGCAGCCTCATGGCAGGGTTGTCGAGGGGGCGGGCAGAGCTATGGTTCCTGCCATTGTCTGTTCTGGAACGCAGGCCCAGGAGAAGGGGACTGGCAAGGGCACCAAGTGGCACGTGGCTGAAGGCAGCCATGGAGTCAGACAGGAGCCATCTGGGGAGAAGTGTGGGGTGGCCATGGCCTGGCTTCCCCCCAGCCTGGGGCTCAGGCTCCCTGTGGCTCTCGAAGCAGTGTGTGTGTGCCTCGGGCACGCGGAGGGTAGGGTCCGTGGGGCTCCTGGAAGAGGCCCACAAAGTAGCCCAGGCAGCGCTACCCCCCACCCCACTCAGGCTAGAGTTTTGTGGCCAGGCCTGGGTTCAAATTATGGTGCTACCACCTGCCATCTACACAGCCAGTTGTTCCCCCAACTCCTCGTCTGTAAAATAGGAATCATTCCAGTTACCCCAAAGGCTTTCGTTCAAACCTGTGTGTATAAGGCATTCAGGAAAGGCTCAGTTCTGTTCTGTGGGGGCGGTGAGCAGTCACCTGCCACCCTTCACTCTCAGAGTCAGGGCTCCCTCCTACCTCCCTCTTAGGGTGCAAGGTTCCCCCTCTCACCCGCAGCTGTGGAGAGGAGGAAGCGGAACTAGAGATGCCCATCTGGAGTGAGTGCAGGACCAGGTGGGTACGAAAGACTAGCTTCCAACCCTCATCTAGTTTTCCTCCCCTCCGCGAGAGGGAAAGGGAGACGGCGGCCTGAAGACAGAGGCAGAGCCAAGTGGGGCTGTGCAAGGGCAGGAGGCGGGGAAGCGGAGTTGGAGCAGGCAGGGCGCCTGGAGGAAAGGAAGAGAGTGTGGCCCACGCCCGGCGCGGCGCGCTAGGCTCAGACAAAGGCAGGGCCGGTGGCACGCATTACCAGTCGGAGCCACCCGCCTGAGCCCCCCTACGGGAGCGGCGGGAGACCCGGAGGGCGCGGTGCGGAGCCAGTTGTTCCGGGCTTTGGGCAGCCAGGGGCTGCCAGGCGTCTGTACAGGGCGTCGGGTGGCTGTCTGTGGGGCTCTAGGAGATGTACCACCCTTTCCCCGCCGCACAGCAACGGCGCCGAGACGCCTCTTCAGGGACCTGGTGCGCACAGGCTCCTGAAACCCTTTGGCCCCGGGACTGCGGATGGCGAATCTCTCGTTCGGACTCAGAGCTGGAGTCCGTCCTTCGCGCGCCCCCTGCTGGCCCGCCTCGGCTCCCCTCGGCGCCCGGGCTCCGCGGCGGCGGCCGGGGCTCAGATCGGGGAAACCCTACCGGGGAAACCTCGAGGCGTGACGTCACCCTCCTCGGTGACGTCACCGGGCCCCCGGGGAGCGCGAGGTTCCCACGGAGGAGGCTTTCCCCGGACTGCGCAGGGCGCGGGCGGGGGCCGGGAAGTCGTTGGGGGCCGCGGCGCGCCTTCACTGCGCCCCGTGTCTGCCCTACAGGTCCCGCGCGGCCCCGGGTGAGGCACGCCCGCGCGCCCGCCGGCGCCATGGGAAGGAGCGGGCGCCGCTGCTGTCCCCCGCCGGCGCGCGCACGACTTGAGACCTGCCACGGGCAGCCCCCGGCCGCGGGTCCCCGAGTGACGCTGGCGGCACCTGAGAGTGTGGCGCGGGCCCGGGGCCACGCAGCGGAGCCCAGTGTCCAGTGAAGCGTCTGAGGACCCGCCGCCCGTGCCGCCGCCATGGTGATGTCCCAGGGCACCTACACGTTCCTCACGTGCTTCGCCGGCTTCTGGCTCATCTGGGGTCTCATCGTCCTGCTCTGCTGCTTCTGCAGCTTCCTGCGCCGCCGCCTCAAACGGCGCCAGGAGGAGCGACTGCGCGAGCAGAACCTGCGCGCCCTAGAGCTGGAGCCCCTCGAACTCGAGGGCAGTCTGGCCGGGAGCCCCCCGGGCCTGGCGCCGCCGCAGCCACCACCACACCGTAGCCGCCTGGAGGCGCCGGCTCACGCGCACTCGCATCCGCACGTGCACGTGCACCCGCTGCTGCACCACGGGCCCGCGCAGCCGCACGCGCACGCGCACCCACACCCGCACCACCACGCGCTCCCGCACCCGCCGCCTACGCACCTGTCGGTGCCGCCACGGCCCTGGAGCTACCCGCGCCAAGGTGAGTACCGACCTCCGCCAGGGGGCGATCCGGGCCGCCGGAAGTGGGCGGGCGTTGGAGGGCTCGCTGCTTACCCTCAGGGCTTCCATCCGCAGCCTCCGGGAGAACACGGGCGGCGGCGGGCTCGGGTTCGGGCTAGGGCTGGGGCGCGGGCGGCCCCTGGCCGGGGCCTCTGCGAGAGGCTGGGAACCGGCGGCCTCACCTCCTCCGACCGCCTCCCACTCCGCAGCGGAATCGGACATGTCCAAACCACCGTGTTACGAAGAGGCGGTGCTGATGGCAGAGCCGCCGCCGCCCTATAGCGAGGTGCTCACGGACACGCGCGGCCTCTACCGCAAGATCGTCACGCCCTTCCTGAGTCGCCGCGACAGCGCGGAGAAGCAGGAGCAGCCGCCTCCCAGCTACAAGCCGCTCTTCCTGGACCGGGGCTACACCTCGGCGCTGCACCTGCCCAGCGCCCCTCGGCCCGCGCCGCCCTGCCCAGCCCTCTGCCTGCAGGCCGACCGTGGCCGCCGGGTCTTCCCCAGCTGGACCGACTCAGAGCTCAGCAGCCGCGAGCCCCTGGAGCACGGAGCTTGGCGTCTGCCGGTCTCCATCCCCTTGTTCGGGAGGACTACAGCCGTATAGAGGGGCGCCCGGCGCCCCGGGCCCCACCGGCGGACTCCTGGCCTGACTGCGGGGCTTTTTAAATGCTTCCCTGGACTGCGGGGAGGGGCGGGGGGAGGGAGGGATTTCTTATCCCGTTTGTTACATTTTGAGGATAATAAAGGTGTGTGATCTGGTTTGGTACAAGCGGAGGGTGCACCGGCTGCTTTCGCCCAGGGTTCTGTGTGACCAGACAAGCCGGGGCCTTGGCGGGAAGGACCCTCAACGTGCGTTTCCGCCACAACAGAACCTAAGGGTACAGCACTAAGTCTAAGACCAACCCTTCTCCGGTGGTTGTAGGTGCCAAGCGGCTTCCCCTGGGAGCCTTAGCCCCTAGCACCGCCCCCCCACCCCGCCCCCGCCTGGCGGGCCTTGGAATTAGGGTGAGGACGCCCCCTGGTGGCAAGGAGGTGCTGCGGCCTCGGAGGTGGGAGGAGTTGGGAACCTGGGTCAGGGCAGGCGGCAGCCCGAAGGGATCTGGATTTCTTTATTAACAGACATGAGCACGACCCGTTACAGAAGTTTGTGCTTTCCAAAAAAAAAAAAAAAAAAAAAAAAAAAACAGTTACTAAACGTGAAAAAGGAACCCAAGCAAAGAGGAAGGAGTTGGGGAGGGGCCACCAAAGCCCCTGGGCCCCATCCATAGCCCTGACCTGAACCGCGCCTAGGGCCTCCAACCTGGGACCTGCCCGGCAGGAGACGGGGGGTAGCCGAGGGGCCCCAGCTGGGCCTGCTACTTCCTTTGGGCCAGACAGGAAGGGGTCAAAAGAAGGGCGGGGAGGGGGTCCCAGGGAGCCAGAGCCCACGAGCCATTTATTGCCATGTTTTAAAATTCGTGCAAAATATCTGAAGCCCTGGACAGAGAATACAAAGTGATATTTTCCCAAGAAACATAAAACTAGGAAAAGAGGTGGGGGACATTTTCCCACCAGAGCTCCCCCCACGCCAGGCCCCAAGCAGGGTGAGGCCTCCAACCCGGCCAGCTGAGCAGGGAGGACTAAGAGCTACAATCTGGACCAGGGAAGGAGGGGTGGAATTTGCAACAGCGTCTCAACTACCAACGAGAGGAAAGCCAGTCAACTGTACAAGTCTCCTATCAACTTTTTAAAAAAAGAGAAAAGCTGTAAAAGTCAGGCCCTGTGGGTAGGGAAGCGGCCAAGTCCCCAGCCAGGGCCGGAATCCGGAGTGGGTGCCAGGCGGAGCTGCTGCGAATGCAGGCACGGCGGGCCGTCTGGCCAGAGGCTGATGCAGGTGGGCGGCCTTGGCAAGGGTAGCCTAGGGCTGGCGCCACCGCTAATCACCACCCTCGAAGCCCTCCTCCTCTTCTGGAACTGGGTCTGCATCCCAGCATGTGATGTCGATCTCTGTGGCGTTAGAAAGGGAGAGGAGTTAGGGACCTAGCAGACCGCTTGTGTCCCCAGCCTCTGTGAGCGGTGGGTAGTGGTGGGGTGGCTACCCACACTCAAATCCAGCCCCCGCACCCAAATTCCTCCCCATCATCCAGCCCAGTACTACCTGGAGGCTTGTTGTAGAACACAGGAGGCGGAGCCTTGGCACAGAGCTCTTCCGATTGGGCAAACTCCTCCTCCTGTGATTGACTGAAGTACCCCTCACTGGCCTGCAGGGGAAAGCATCAGGTCACTTGGCCCCACCCAGCAGGACTGGGGCTGACCTATCAGGCCTGAGCCCGTTTCCCCAGCAACCAATGATTCCATCAGTGGTTGCCAGGGAAACAAGGATGCCTGCCTTGGGAACAAAAGCAGAGCCGGCCCAGGGAGGGAGGGTGGGATGGACTTCCCCTCAAATAATGTGGGTCACAGAGAAGGGGGTACTGGTGCAAGCATGAGGAATGCAGGGCCAGCACCCTGCTCAGCCCCCACTCCCTCCCATCCCTCCCACCAGGCAGTCCCTGCCGCACCTGGGTCCCCTCCTTCTGGGTGGTCTCGCCATTGGTTAGCAGGTGGGGCTCCGGCTCCTGCTCTTGCTCCAGCTCCTCAAGGGCTGAGGGCAGAGTTGGGGTCTGGGGGGCAGCCAGGGACTCCCCTTCCACTTCCTCTGGGTCACAGAAGGTGGCTGGCGGCTCAGGCAGCTCATCAAAGTTGAGAAGGGTGGCACAGCCTTCGCCTGCTGGCAGCAGTGGCTCCGGAGCCACCTCATCCAGCAGGGGCACCTCTGCCAGGGTGACCTCAGTACCCGAGGGTGGCGTGGGGGCCCTGGGCTCACCCTGGAGTGTGGAGGCCCCTTCCCCGTTGCCAGGCCATAGGTCAATGAGGCTGGTGGCGGCGGGGGGTACGTTGTTGGCAACAGTGGTGTCAGCAGTGGCAGTGTCAGTTTCAATGGTGTCAGCTGCATCGTGGATCTCCGTGGCGTCAGCTGTGGCAGGCTCCACGGGAGCAGCCAGGACAGCCTGCTCTGCAGACTCCATGAACATCAAGTCCTCTGCAGGGCTGCCTGGCCCCCGGGGAGGCGCCTGTGCCTGAGGGGGCTCCTCCATGGGGCCGGCCCAGGCCTGAGGGGCTGCTGCTCTGGTCTCCTCACTGTCTAGGATGGGGCTGGGCTCCTGGGTCTCTGTCACAGCACAGGCAGAGGAGATATGTAACCGGCTCCCCTCGGGGAGGATGGAGACCCTGCCCACCCACTAAGGAGTGAGGGAGCCAGGGACTTCCATGCAGGTGTCCCACTGCCCCCTTACCCAGTGACCCCAGTGACTTTAAGCCCCTTGGCAGCTCCGGGAGGAAGGCCAAGGCCCGATTCCCACTTGAGAGGGCGGGTGCTAAGCTTTAGAGAGGGCAGGTCTGACTGTACACCAGGGCTCCTCCCCACACAGCCGCCTCCAGGGCAGTGCAGTCTTGGTGATGGGTGGCCCAGATCCCTGGAGAACGGTTACCATGGCAACCTGGGGCTCCCAGCCAGGGACTGATGATGGGAGGCCTGGTGCAGGTAGCATCCCTCTCTCACCTTGGGCTGGTGGGGGTGGCGGTGGCAGTGGTGGAGGCTGCGAGGAGGTGACCTCATCCAGGGCCCGCTCTATCTGCTCAGCGACAGGGGTGGAGGCGGTGCTGGAGTCAGACGGGCTCCGCGTGGGGATGGGAGTGGGCGCCATCCTCCGGTGGCTGTCCAGGTGGCTGCCTGTGGAACAAACCCCAGGTGGGTCAGTGAGGGCGGGGGAGCCGGGTGAGACAGGATTGTCCACCTTGGGGCCTGGCCAGCACCTCCTCTCTGGAATCTGGGTGGGGGCTGGGAGCTCTCCAGCCCCACCAGGGGCCAGACTACAGCTCCAGACCCTGTAAGCTAGGCCCCTGGAGGCCAGTGCCCCATAAGGCCAGGGGCAAGAGGCAGGCAGTGCCTGCCCTGGGGGCAAACACCAGAGATCAGCGGTCAGACTGGGGGAGTGAGGGCGGGGGGCTGCTGGGAAGCGGGGCCCTCCTTACCACCCCCGCCGAGGCCTGGGGCTGCTACCTACATGGGAGGGAGGAAGAGAGGTTTGGGGTGCGGTGGCAGGTGATATAGGGAAAGGGAGTCCGTGGAGGGGAGGAGGAGGAAGAGGAGGAGGAGGAAGGCCCACTGTCCGATGCCTTTATGAAAGGGCAGTACGGACGACCTGCCGAGAGAGACAGACAGAGAAAGAGACAGAGGACAAGAGAGGGTCAGTCTCCCCCACCCCTGCCCGAGGCCTCTCCCGCCCCCAGGGCCTGGCCCTGGATGTCCAAGCTGCCTTCAGCCAGGGGCACAATCAGCCAAGCCAGCCGCAGCCTCACACCAGCCCCAGACACACAGCCAGCCTGGGAGCAGTACAGCAGGGACGGCCTGTGGCGGGACCCCAGCATGGGGCAAGCACACTCAGACCAGCAGACAGGGCAGGGAAGAGCTTCAGGAGAGGCGGAAGCAGCACACTGAGAAGCGGAACGGGGACACCTGGGTGCAAGCTCCGGGAGGCTCCCTCAGGCCCGGGGCAAGAGCCCAGCACGCATGCATTCCGGCCTTCCAGGCCAGACCTAATTCACCCCAGCCGAGCTGCTCCCCGTGGCCAGCGCTGTGCCTCAGCCCATGCCAGAGCTGCCCCACAGGCCCTAGCACTCCCCACTGTTCAGCCACAAGCGACTTCACCACCATCCCTGGCCCTTCTTGGGGTCCTGCCACCTGGGAAGTGGTGGGCGGATGCACGCTGGATGAAGGGTCTCGCCTTCTCCAAGGGTTGCTTGGGCAAGGCCTCCCTTCTGAGAGAGTCCCAGAGAGGCTCAGGGCCGCAACCTGAGGAGTGGGGCCGGACGGGGGGTGGGGCCTAGGACTACCTGGTCGATGGTTGAAGGGCGAGGGTACATCACAGCTGCCCGCAGAGGCCGATGCGACTCTTTCCTGCTGCTTGAAGAACTCCCTTGGGTTGTCAGGCCGCTGGGCAATAATAGCTGCTGCCTCCTGAGGGCACGAGGAAAAGGTTGGGGCTGGGCCAGGCAAGCTGAGATAGCCCTGTCTGCCTCACCTGGCTGGTGCCCCCAGCTCTCACCTCCACCTCCGACTCTGACTTCTTCATGTGGGTCTCTTCCTCCTCATCCCGATGGTCACCCTAGAAACCAAAGGGACAGTGTCTGGTGCACCTACCCCCCACAGGGGCTTTTGGCCTTCTTTTTTACTGTATTTTATTTATTGATTTTGTTTTTAAGACAGGTTCTCGCCCTACCACCCAGGCTGGGGAGCAGTGGTACAATCACGGCTCACTGCAGCCTCTGCCTCCTGGGCTCAAGCAATCCTCCCACCTCAGCCTCCCGAGTAGCTGGGACTACAGGTGTGCACCACCATGCCCGGCTAATTTTAATTTTTTGGTAGAGATGGGGTCTCCCTATGTTGCCCAGGCTGGTCTCAAACTTCTGGGCTGAAGGGATCCTCCTGCCTTGGCCTCCCAAAGTGTTGGGATGGATTACAGTCATGAGCCACCAGTGCCCGGCCTTCTGGCCTTCTTTTTTTTTTTTTTTTTTTTTTGAGACGGAGTCTCGCTCTGTCGCCCAGGCTGGAGTGCAGTGGCGGGATCTCGGCTCACTGCAAGCTCCGCCTCCCGGGTTCACGCCATTCTCCTGCCTCAGCCTCCCAAGTAGCTGGGACTACAGGCGCCCGCCACTACGCCCGGCTAATTTTTTGTATTTTTAGTAGAGACAGGGTTTCACCGTTTTAGCCGGGATGGTCTCGATCTCCTGACCTCGTGATCCGCCCGCCTCGGCCTCCCAAAGTGCTGGGATTACAGGCGTGAGCCACCGCGCCCGGCCCCTTCTGGCCTTCTTACAGCCCCCATGCTTCTTTCGCAATCTGGCAGGAAGGGTTTCAGAGGTGGTACCTCTGCCCCGTCAAACCCTGTCACACAGCCCCTCTCTTCCCTCAGGGCCCTCAGCCACCTCATCTCTGACCTGCCAGGCCTCTGGGCACCAGGCTCACTCACTCACTTGCTCATCCCCATATCTAAGCAGGTGCCTAGGGCCCTCCAGAAGTGCTCCTTGTTTTGCAGATAACTTCTTGGACCTCCTACCCTAGTGCCGGGGCCACCATGCTCCCAATGTTGCTGCCTGGACCGTGGCATCATGGTCCAGCCTTCCTCACTGCTACCTGCCTTATTTGCTCTCCATAGGCCCTGAAAGGACCTTTCCAAAATGCGGATCAGACCATGATTTTCCTGAGCTTAAAATCCCTCAGGGGTTCCCATGAGCCACAGCAAGCACTGGCTAAATATGACCCACAGATGGCTTTTGTTTTGCTGGTATGATATTTTTAAACCATGTTCATTAGTTACCACCACTTAAAAACCAGGAACTTTCATACTGAGATGAGGGTCCCAGTTTCTCTTGAGGTGACAGAGCCCTGGCGACATCACCTGCAAGCCCGGAGCAGCCATCACCGGGGCCTCGCCGCAGCCCCCTTAAGACAGGCGTGTGCCACCCGCTCACCCCCGGCCCCACCATCGCCTACTGGCTTCACCTGCCCACTGCACACGTTGTTTTGGGTGGGCAGCGCCCGCACTTGGCCTACGTCCCCCACCCCTGCCTGACCTAGCCGTCACCTCTCCAACACCACCCCCTGCCGGCCCCCACCCCAAGGCTCCCACATACTGTGAGATGTAGACATCAAGTCCTCAGCACGACGCAGTCAGTTCCCAGAACAGGCACACCCGTTCCCACCTCCAAGCCTCAGCATGGGAGACTGGCCTCCCTCCCAAATGCCTGCTCCCCACCCGGGGGCCAGGCCCTCTGGTTTCCAGCTGCAGCGTGGCCACTGCTTCCTGGGGAAGGACCTCTGAACAAGAGGCTTGTTCAGGTCATTTCCTCCTCTGGGTCCCCACAGGGTGCTCCTGGCTTCCACCACGATGACACCACATCCTAAGTTCCTGTTTCCGGAGGCACCTCCCCCCTCCGCTGTGAGCAACGCAGGATGAGGACCGGGGTCTCCGGGTGGGTGGCCAGCACAAGGCGGGCGCATGTTTGCTCAACTGCACTCACACACCAAAGGCTTCTTAGTCGGTGTCCCCTGCTGCTCAGGTGGCAGCTTGGGCAGGAGGGGCTGCTAAGGTGGTGAAGTCCCAGGGCTGCTCTGTTTTTGAGCCTATAATCTAAAATTTTAGCTTATGTCAGGAGCACTGGGAGAAGGGCCCTTCGTAGTATCCCACCTCAGGAGGGCTATCACCTCAGTGATAACTTTGTGACCCCCAGAATGAAGTCTAAACTCCTCCTCTGCCCTTGCTCTCCTTTCCCAATCAAATCTCCCCCACTCCTCAGCCCACGGGGTTCCAGTCAGCCTAGGCTCTTCACCTTCCCATGAGCCTGTGTCCCACCAGCCTTTGCTGCTCTGCCCACTGCCTGCTGTAATCTCAGTTGGTTCCTCTGCCTTGTTCAAAGAAAGGACCAGAGGCAACTACCACAAAGGCTTTTTTTTTTTTAATCTGAGACAGAGTCTTTCACTCAGGCTGGAGTGCAGTGGCGAGATCTCGGCTCACTGCAAGCTCCGCCTCCCGGGTTCACGCCATTCTCCTGCCTCAGCCTCCCGAGTAGCTGGGACTACAGGCGCCCGCCACCACGCTCGGCTAATTTCTTGTATTTTTTAGTAGAGACGGGGTTTCACCATGTTAGCCAGGATGGTCTCGATCTCCTGACCTCATGATCCGCCTGCCTTGGCCTCCCAAAGTGCTGGGATTACAGGCATGAGCCACTGAGCCCAGCCCTCCACAAAGGCTTTAATAAACTACCAACCATGTGAACACTGAAACAAGTAAGGCCCAGAGGGAGGAGAGAGATCAACGCACTAACCACATGGGTCAAAGCCACTGCTGTGCCTAAAGCATTTTCAGATACACGGGAGCTCCCCTGCAGGCCAGGCAAAAAGGGAACTCAGATATGGAACACAATTCGTAACAGGGGAGAGAAAGCAACAGCTCCTTAAGCCAAGAGAAAGCATTTCACAGTGCTAAATCCCAAAGTCTCTCGCATATTCCCTTCCTTAGAGGACCTGAAATTGAAAGGGTACCACACTGACCTGCTAGAATGTCCACTGTCACTCTCACGTGAACTATACTTGAAGGGCCAGATGGGACTATAAAATAATGGTAAGCTCCTTCAGACTTTACCTGAAATGTTGATAACTGGTGAAAATAAATCAGCTCAGGGGGTTCACAACACTATTCTGTCTACCTGCATGTGTGTATGTTTGAAATGTTAGCAAAAAAATAAACTTTATCAGGGCTGGGTGCAGTGCACTTTGGGAGGCCGAGGTGGGAGGATCACCTGAGGTCAGGAGTTTGAGACCAGCCTGGCCAACATGGTGAAACCCTGTCTCTACTAAAAATACAAACATTAGCCGGGCATGGAGCCGTGCACCTGTAATCCCAGCTACTTGGGAGGCTGAGGCAGGAGAATCGCTTGAACCCAGGAGGCAGAGGTTGCAGTGAGCTGAGATGGCGCCATTGCACTCTAGCCTGGGGGACAAGAGTGAGACTTCATCTTAAAAAAGATAAATAAATAAAAATAAATAAATAAATAAATAAACTTTATCAGGCAGGGTGCGGTGGCTCACGCCTGTAATTCCAGGACTTTGGGAGGCCGAGACAGGTGGATCACGAGGTCAGGAGTTCGAGACCAGCCTGACCAACACGGTGAAACCCTGTCTCTACTAAAAATACAAAAATTAGCTGGGCATGGTGGTGCACGCCTGTAATCCCAGCTACTCAGGAGGCTGAGGCAAGAGAATCGCTTGAACCCAGGAGGCAGAGGTTGCAGTGAGCTGAGATTGTGCCATTGCACTCCAGCCTGGGCGACAGAGCAAGACTCTGTCTCAAAAAAATAAAAATAAATAAATAAATAAACTTGGCTGGGTGAGGTGGCTCACACCTGTAATTCCAGCACTTTGGGAGGCCGAGGAGGGCAGATCATGAGGTTAAGAGATCGAGACCATCCTGGCCAACATGGTGAAACCCCATCTCTACTAAAAAGACAATAAATAAATAAATAAATAAATAAATAAATAAATAAATAAATAATAAACTTTATCTGCTGGGTGCGGTGGCTCATGCCTGTAATCCCGGCACTTTGTGAGGCCGGCGGGTGGATCACCTGAGGTCAGGAGTTCAAGATCAGCTTGGCCAACATGGTGAAACCCCATCTCTACTAAAAATACAAAAATTAGCCAGGCGTGGTGGTGGGCGCCTGTAATCCCAGCTACTTGGGAGGCTGAGGCAGGAAAATCACTTAAACCTGGGAGGCAGGCCGGGTGCAGTGGCTCACGCCTGTAATCCCAGCACTTTGGGTGGCTGAGGTGGGCAGATCATGAGGTCAGGAGATCGAGACCACCCTGGCTAACATGGTGAAACCCCGTCTCTACTAAAAATACAAAAAATTAGCCGGACGTGGTGGCGGGCACCTGTAGTCCCAGCTACTTGGAGGCTGAGGCAGGAGAATGGTGTGAACCTGGGAGGCGGAGCTGGCAGTGAGCTGAGATGGCGCCACTGCACTCCGGCCTGGGCGACAGAGCGAGATTCCGTCTCAAAAAAATTTAAAAAATAAAAAAATTTTAAAAAACCTCACTCTGAAAGGATAAATAAAATGTGGTATATCCATACAATGGAATATGATTCAGCCTTCAAAAAGAAGGAAATTCTGATGCATGCTACAACATGGATGAATCTTAAGGACATCATGCTAAGTGAAATAAGCCACACGCAAAAGGACAAACACCGTGCGATTCCACTGATAGGCAGTCTCCAGAGTAGTCAACTTCATAGAGACAGAAAGTGGAATGGTCGTTGCCAGGAGCTGGCGAGTGGGGAAGGGCAGAATTTGTGTTTAATGGATGGTGGTGGTGGTTATCCTACAATGTGAATGAATTTAATGCCGCTTAATGAAATGCAGATTTTAAAATGACTGAAATGGTACATTTTATGTATTTTGCCACAGTTACATACATGTGGCCAGGCGCGGTGGCTCACGTCTATAATCCCAGCACTTTGGGAGGCCGAGGCGGGCAGATCAACCGAGGTCAGGAGTTCAAGACCATCCTGGCCAACATGGTGAAACCCAGTCTCTACAAAAACACAAAAATTAGCTAGGCATGATGGTGTGCGCCTGTAATCCCAGCTACTCAGGAGGCTGAGGCGGGAGAATCGCTTGAACCTGGGAGATGGAGGTTGCAGTGAGCCAAGATCACGCCATTGCATTCTACCCTGGGCGACAGAGTGAGACTCCATCTCAAAAAAAAAAAAAAAAAATACATGAATCAACTTATGAAAAAAAGATCTTACCCAGCTCGTTCTCCACCATGTTCTTTATGTGGCAGGTGGCAGGTGTGTGTTGAATGAATGACTGAGGATGGAGCTTACCAGCCACACATCATCCCCACCCCATCCAAGGGCAGATGTGACTGGAGTGACTTAATGCTGCTGCCTGCAGGACTGTCTTGCCTCCTCTCTCTCAGCCTCCTGTGGGTGACTCCGGAGCCCGTTTGAGTCCCCACAGCCATGCATCTGCCCATTACAGTCCCAATCCAGATGAGTATCAACCCACCTCCCTTCCTGAACTGAGCCATGCTCAGTCCTGAATGACATTAGCTATTTCCAAAATACTAAATTCAAAGCATGGAGATGTGACTCTGCTGTGATTCTCAGGGACCAATCCACAGGACCTACGGGCCATTCCCAATGTGTGGAGATTCAGACAGTACCCCTGGAACAAAGGGGCTGCTCCCAGGGAGATGCTGCTCCCAAGGAGATGGTACACACTGCCTGCAGATGCTCAGCACTGGCCCAGGCTCACCCATGCCGCCTGCCTCACTCCTGTGGCCCCTCAGAGTGCAGAACAGTGTCTAATCGCCGAGAAACCCCAGGGCAGGGGAGGGGGAGCCTGGTCAGTGAGGGTCTGGGTCTAGATGGAGTTTCTCTTCCAATCTAGAGCACAAGCTTCTCCAAAGTAGTCTTTTTCCACGGCCAGAGGCCAGAGCCCCACGTGATGAGGTGCCAGGCCTCATGCTCCATGGCACCCTGTGCCCATGCAGCTCCCCAGAACAGCCACCACTGTCCCTGAGCCACTGATCTCCCCACAAGGCCCAGGAACACAGGGACCATTCTCACTTCCCTGACCCAGAGACCGGGAGCCTTGGCAAAGAACTTACAAAGATAGACTGCTCCTTCAACCGCCTCTTGGCCTCTTCCGCTTCTAAAGTCTGCTGTTTCCTCCTGGAACGATAAGCAGCCAGCACCCGTCAGGGTGCGCCCGGGGGCCCCTGGAGCGCTCCGGGCGGGCAGGCTCACCTGTGCTCCTCGATCTGCTGCTCCCGCTCCCGGTAGCGCCGCTCGCGCTCCTCTTGCTCCTGCCGCTCCTGCTCCATCCGCTCCTGCTCGAACCTGAGCCTCTCATCCAGGGCCTTCTTCCGCTCCTCCTCCTTCCGCAGCTCTTCTTCCTTCTGCAAGCCCCGGTGCGAACAAGGGTAGGCCCCGAGCCTAGGCGCCTGGACCCTGCCCCTCCAGCCCCTCCCTAACCCAGCGCTGGGGGCGGGGCACGTGGCATGGGCCATGCCACTGCAGTGAGGGACTCAGACCTGCCCCATGGGGTCCATGAGGGGTGGCTCAGCCAGGCCGGGCTCAGGGTTCCATACCTTGGCCTGCTCCCAGAACTGCTCTCGGTTAATCCGCTTCATTTCCACAGCTGCATCCGTCTTCTGGTAGGTGGTGCCCTGCAGTGTCGAAGGACCCAGCATAAGCAGGCTGAATGCCCCAGGAACCCCCGACACCTAAAGGGTGAGAGCTAAGAGGGACCGGGCAGGCCAGACTCGGGCACCAGGCCACGCAGGCAGAGCCCACGGGTGCCAAACACACACTAACCACGGGCTCTGCGTTCTCATCCTCTCGCAGCCGCAGTCGGTGCAGCACAGGGCTGGAGAGTCGCGCCAGCCCGTTAGAGAGCCGCTGCCCGATGGCACCCGCGTCTATGTCTTCCACGCTGCTGGCGTTCACGATCACGTCGACACCCTTCCGCAAGAAGACGGCAGTGCTCAGGCGGCACCATCCTCCCGCCATCCCCACCCCAGCACGCAGACCCTGGTGGCTGTCCCCACCCCCAAGAGCGCTGGCCCCTGACACGCACCTGGAAGAACTCCGCCACCTTAGCCACGTGGCTGGCACAAGCGCACTTGCGGGCATCAGGCACATCTTCGCCCACCTGCAAAGTACCCAGCAAAGAGGGGGTCAGGAAAGGACAAGGGGGGCCCTACACGATAGGGTGCATCTTCCCCGGGGTGGGAAGAGGGTGGGCTTCCCTCTCCACGGGTGTCAGAGGGCCGACGGGGAGGGCGACTGCTCTGGGCCTTCAGTTCCCTTCCCCAGCCCCGGCCGCATACCCAGTTGATGAGCAGCTCTGGGCCCTCAGCCCCCTTCCCCAGCCCCGGCCGCATACCCAGTTGATGAGCAGCTCTGGGCCCTCAGCCCCCTTCCCCAGCCCCGGCCGCATACCCAGTTGATGAGCACGTATTTTGGCAGAGCAGCTTGGGAGTCCTTGACACTGCAGAAGCCGTACATCACCTTCTGGTTCTCAAAGTGTCCCGAAAGCTCCTGCAAGCCCCCTTCTAGGGTAATCAGGAGAGTGTCAGGTCTCTCTGCCTCCTAAACCCTTCCCAAAAAGAGCCTGGAACTCAAAGCAAAGACTCCTCCAGGCCTCCACAGGCACCCCCAGGGGTCTTCTGGCCTCTGGGGTCTGTGGGTCCCAGTTTTGTGTTGGTATGTGTGGGGGTGGTGGCGCACAGGGATGTAGCTTTGCCTGTGACTCCTGCAGGGCCTGATTTGGGGGTAGGACTGAGGAAGTGTTTGTTCTTCACACTCAGGTCTCATTCTTCACACATCATCATGTCTCACCAGGTGCCAGTGCCCAGAGGCACAATCAAGCCTTCTGGCTCTGGGGAAGGCGGTGAATAGGGCCCTTCCCCCAAAGTGTCCCAGCTGTGTGGCTTCAGATAAGTCACTTTCCCTGTTGGAGGCTCAGCCTCAGAAGTCCAACATTCAACAAGGCTCTGAGATTCCTCCCCACCCTGGGGACACAGGGATGACTGGAGGAAGGACACCCGCCAGATCCAGACAAGTGTGGGGCTGCAGGGTGCAGGCAGGGAGGTGGCCTACAGCCAGGTGGGTGGGGAAGAAAACAACCAGGAGGAGGGGGTGGAGAAGGCGGCGAGGGAATGGCTGGAATTCCTACCTCCTGATGCTGCAAGCTTGAGGTCATCGGAGCCATCTTCATATGTGTACAGAGCCCTGGGGAGAGGGAGGGGTGGCTGTCAAACTGTCAGGGCCCAGGCCGCCAATTCTGGGTGGGGACGGCTCTGGGGAGGGAGAGGGACATGGAGTGGGTAGGACAGGAACGGGGAGGGCTCCTGCTGTAGCCATGACAACAGGGCCAGGCATCGGTTCAGGCGGGAGCCCAGCAGGGTACTGCTGGAGGCCTGGGTCAGGGGGGCGCAGGCAGTGAGGGGAGAAATTGCTGGCTGGTCGAGCTCAGTGCGCAGCATCCCGGCCCTGGCCCTGGCAGCCTACAACCCAGTGGAGCGGGTGTGTGATGGAGATTCCAAGGCGACGGTTCCTTGGTTACCGTTCCCTGGCTACCAGGATCCTCATCCCCCATTGGCTAGTGCCAGGAACTTACCTGGCACGTGCCTTGGTCCCCGCTGCCCCTCCCCCGGGGAGGGAGGAGGAGAAGAGAGAACCTGGTGCTCCCAACAGCTCTGGGCATCCCCCAGTAACCATGGCAACCCTGCAATTGGCACACGACTGGCCCACCCCAACTGCATTCTCCTTGAACACAAAGGACCCTGGGGACCCGCCCTCAGCCTCAATCTCCGCCTCTCTGAAATGGGGATGAGGTCACTGCAGTCACTCTCGCCCAGACTCTGGCCCCGGGGTGGCCAAGCCTGAGCTCCAGGCCTTCCAGCCCCTAGGCTGCCTCAGTCCTGGCTGAGGCTTCCTGAGACTGCTGGCCTTTCCTTCTGTCTGAGCTCTAACAGAAAGCTGACCTGGTGGCCTTCCTCCTTCCTCCTCCTCCCTAGCTTTGTGTGCCCTGGCTCCTTTTGATAGGCTGCGGTGACAGAGCAACCATTGCACAGAAGGGAAGGCAGAGATGCCTCCTCCATCACCCCATGCAGGCCCAGGCTGAGGACCCTCTGGGAGGGAGGAGAGCCGGGGCCTAGGAGGAAGGGCCTTGTCCCTGAAGTTTGAAAGGGCTCTCAACCCCTTCTCCAAACTCCTATTCCCCAGGTGCCAAGGCAGGAGGCTGGGGCTGTGAGGAGGGGAGGCAGAAAGGGAGGGCAAGGGAGAAGAGAAAGAGGAGGGGAGAAGCAGAGGGAGAAACCAGGAGAGGAGGAAGAAGAGAAAGGACAGAAGTGAAGGGACAAAGGAAATGAAGGCGGGAGGGATGGAGGGGACGTCTCAGGAGGTTGTGGCCAGGGCCAAATGGCCTCAGCCCCTCCCCTTCCTGGATTCCCGGCTTCCTACCTCCAGGAAGGAACACAGGTGGGCTGTGGGGCTGGGAGCTCCTGGTCCAACTGTTACCCCCAGCCCCAGCCTGGCCCTGACAGATGCTTCCAGCACAGCTGGCCCACCACCTGTCCTGCTGCCCTAACCCACCACGGGAACAAAGGGCCCTGGGAGAAGCAGGCTCTGTCTCTCTCCATGCACTGATGAGAAACTAATGCAGAGCCCAGGGACCCTAGTTCCTAGAGACTGCTGTAGACATCAAGCCTCCCTCTGAGAGGACCTGTCTTGGCCTGCCTAGGCTCCCCGGGGTGCCTTCCATCCTCAGCCCCTGGCTCCCCACCTCCGGCCACCTCTTCCTGCTCCAGCCGCAGCTCTCCCCCAGCAGAAACCATACCCCAGTTCAAACCCTCCAGCCTGCCTTTCCATTGGACCACCCTGTCCACACCACACACTTGGGACACACTGGACGGCTCCCTGACCCAAGCAGGGTTCTGGACAGGGCTCACCCTGAAGCCTCTGCCTATGTAGTTCTCTTCACGTGGAAGGCAAGACCTGCTCCTCTACCCCACGCCTATTCCCAGTGGAATGCTTCCGTTCTTCAGAGCCCAGTGCTGGCCCCCAGCAGCCTCTCCTGAGCTGCCCCTCCCAGAGCACCCACCATATCCCAGCAGGAATACAAAGACCAGTGCTTCTCAACCACATCAGAGGCACCCCGAGCCTGGTGGTGCACCAGGTGGAAGCTGGCGAAACCACAGGGAATCAGGATGGGGTAGGCGACCAGGCATCTACACATCTCACCAGCTCCAACTCCTGGAGACAGACACTGCCCCCAGCTGTAAGCCTGGTGAAGGCAGGAACGCTGACTCAGTCAATCAGCACATCCTGCTCTCTGGGTCCTGGGGTCCAGCACACCGCATACCAGAAGTATGTGTGATATTGACACCAACTCAAAAGCCATCTAGCCAGATAAACTGAACTAGCGTGAGGTGGGAGCTGGAATGTGGCAGTTCCAGAGACCCTGGGGTGAGCTGGGATGGGGGGTGAGCTGGGGTGGAGGGTGAGCTGGAGTCGGGGGCTGAGGGCAGGTGGACCCCGCAGGACCATCACTCTCAGGATGGTGGTGCTAGAAAGGCCTTCAGTATCCGAGGTAGTGCTGGGCCCAATCCCTTTTCTTTCCAAGAGGACCAGGAACTTGTGTATGATCACAGTGAGTCATATCACAACCAGGACAACAGTGGCCCTTCCCACCACACAACCTCATTTCCTGGGTCCCCTGCTCCCTGTGCCAGAGTAGTGGTGCACTTCAGAGGCCCTGCCACCTAGGAGTGAACTCCCCCAACCACCCCTCCCCATTGGAGGCAAGGTAAGGGTCGGGGGGCAGACAGCAATTTACCCAAGACACCCCTCCCTCTGGACCTATGTGCAGGGTCTGCCTCTGAGTCTTCAGACCTCACTGCACCCCTGGTTCCATGCTGGGCCCTGGGGTATTCATATTCTCTTGTGTAGAAAGTGATCCTCACACCCCTTTTTCAAAATGTTATCTGGGCCCTTAGTGAACGAATGTGTGCATGTGCGAGGGTACATGTGTGCATCTGTGTGTGTCCCACACACAACCCAGATGGGGGCTGACGCACACCAGTGATGAATAACTCGCTTTGGCCACACGGATGCTGCTGGGGTGGGTGGGGGCAGGCCTGTGTTGAGCAGGATGTGGGGCAACAGGGGTTGTGTGGCCTTGGCAATAGGCCACCAGAGCTCTGCTTTTAGGAGAAAATGGGGTGTTGGTAGACAACACCCCTCCAGGCTGGAGGGCAAAGGAGGTGTTCTGGGGTGAGCTGTGCTTCTCCCCAGGCGGGGCCTTATCCCAAAGCCAGCTCCTTCACCAGGCCAAGCCGGCCACTTGCCCAGAGCTCCTCCCATGATCTCAGCCCCCCTGGGGCAGGGCTGGGACAATGGGTGGGCCGCCTGCCTGCTGAGCCTGTGCCGGCCTCTCCTGTGACTGACCTGCAGGACACGAGAGCTTGTCTCTCGCGTCCATCCCTCCAGGCCTGGCTGCTGGCCAGTGCTGCAGTACCATGCCATGGATGCCCAGCCATCTCATCCTCTCCTCCAGAAGCCCCCAGGTCAGAGTCCCCACCTGGCTGCCCTCCCAGTGTGCGGGTGAGGCCAGCCCAAGCGGGGTCCCTCAGACCTGCCCTCCTCTTTGCCTCAGTTTCCTCAAGAAGAACCTGTTCCCATCTGCCAGCAGGGAGAGGAGGCCTAGGAACCAGATGGGCACCTTCCCTAGAAGAAGAGTATTACGGGGGGGTTAAAGGATTCCAGGATGGGGCTGTGAGGAACCCCTCGGTTTCCTTTTTCCACCACCCTGGGCCGCCAGCCCCAGAGCAGGTGGTCCATCCCCTCCCCCAGCTCAGCGGGAGACAACAGCTGGGGGGCGGGGTGAGGGGCGGCCCAGCTCCTCCCCCATCAGGGACCGAGTGCCCCTTGCTGGGGGCCGGTGGATCTGTTCACCCCTTCAGCCGTCTTTGGGGGCTCCCTCCACACTTGTTCTCCAGAGGGCTTCCTCCCAGGGATCTCAGCTGGCCCCTTAGGCAGCTCGGTGCCCCCCAGCCCAGCTGCCTAGTCCCCGCAGTCCCCTTCAGGTAGGGGAGGAGAGCTCACCCCTGCCTCCTCCGCGACCCGCGGCGGTAAGGGAGTCACTTCGCGGTCGCCATGTGGCAGCAAACATCCTTCCACCTCACTCCAGCCCAGGTTTCGGGGGGAGGGCGGCCCACTCCGAGAGGCCCCCCGGTGGGCGGGGCGCCCGGCCCCCAGCCCGCTCCGCTCCTCCCCCGCCCTCGCTTTCCTTTGTGCTGTGGCCGGGCCGGGCTGAGCCGGGCAGGCTGCGCTGGCTCCGCTAGCTCGGTCCCCGCCCCGTCCCCGCCCGGACCTCGCCCGCTCGAAGGTGGCGAAGGTGCCCTTGGCCGCCCCGTGCACACCTGTCCCCCGGGCCCGGGGGGTAGGGTGGGGGATGGGCTCCCGCAGGGCCACGCGGCCCCGGGCCCCACATCGGGACCCCGCGCCTCCGGGCCGCGTCCGGCCGCCGCTCCCACCGCGCGCCTTGGGCCGCCTCCGGGCGCTCGGGGCCCGGCAGTGCCCCGCCTGGCCCGCCGGCCCCTCCCCCGGCGCGCACAAAGGCAGCCCCTCCCGGCCCTCCCGGCCCGCTGCACCATTTCGGGGTCCCCCTCCCTTCCCGGCGGCGGGGCGGCGGGGCGGGAGAGAAACAAAGGCGCGGCGGCGGCGCGGGGACAAAGGGGCCGGGGGCGGGGGCGGGGGGCTCACCAGTCGGCCGCGCTCTCCTCTCGGATCACCTCCTCGTAAGCCGCCAGCAGCTCCAGGCGGTGGCCGCTGAAGCTGACGCCGGCCATGCTTCGGGCCGGACCGGGCCGAACGGACAGACGCGCGGACGGACGGGCGGACGGAGGAGGAGGGAGGGAAAGAGGGAGTCGCCGCCGCCGCCTCGGAGCCTCTGCAGCGTCGCGAGCCGAGCGAGCCAGCGGCCGGGGGAGGGGAGCCGGCCGGCGGGGGGCGGGGGGCGCTGGCTCCGCCCGGCTCGCTCCCTCCGCTCGCTCGGTCCTAGCGCCGCCCCGGCCCGGCCCAGGGGGAGGCCCGCCCCCCCTTCCCGGCCTGCCCCGGGCGCCCCTCACCCACCGCCCCTGCGCGCCGCTCCAGGGCCAGCCCCACCCACGTCCCGAACCCTCACCTGCCCCGTCCGTAACCTCGGCGCTAGCCCTCCTTCCAGCCCCGAACCCAGTCCCGTCCCCACCTCCCCCCGCCCACCCCCCGTCCCAATCCGGTTCCGCCCCACCCATTGCTTCATTGATCTCCATTCCTGGTGCGTCCCACCTCATGTTAAACCCATTTTCATCCCAACCCAGCTCACACAACACCCCACCCCTGGCCCGTCTCCTTTCCCTGAGAGGTCCTTGCCTAGTCTATCCCATCATATCCACTGTCATCTGCATCCCACCCTCAAATCCACCCCAGTTGCTTTCCCATCCCAGCTTCAGCCCCATGCTTAGCACGTGTCCCCCCCAACATGTGTCACGGCACATCTTCAGTCCAACCCATCCCAGTCTCATCCTGATCCCAGTTCCCAATTCCCAACCACAGCCCCCCATCTCGGCTCCATGACCACTTATTCCAGGCCATTCTCAGCCCCTACCCAGCTCATTATCCCTCCATTCCAGGCCTCTCCTCCCCTCCACGCCTGTGCCCTCTCAGATGGGGCCAGCTAGGAGATCCTTTGCATTCTCTCTCAAGCCTCACGCCTCCCAGAGGAGTCCCAAGTAGAGTTCCGGAAGCAGCATCTAACCCCAGACTCCCACGGCAGGGCTCCTCCAAGGACGCTCAGGGCCAGCCTCTTGGCACCTTTATCTCCTAAAGCTCTAAGCACAGAACGGGAGGGGGCCTCAGAAAAGTACCCCCTGCAAGGGAGTGGACACCATGCCAGGGCCTTCCAGAACTCCGTTCCTTGCTAGGTTGGGACCCTGAAACCGTCCACAGCGCTTAGAAGCCTTTTCCACCACTACAAAGCCTCCAACCTCGACCTCCCTGAGCAAACTTCACCTGGTCCCAACCGCACCGCGGAGGAGGAGGTGGTTCTAGCCAGGCCTCCGAGTTCTGCGTTGGGTAATTGGCTATGCCAAGAGAAGGAGAGCAGGGCTGCCTATGTGGCAGTGTTCCTGGCGCTTTGGAGTTGGGAGAACCCTCTTAAAACTCAAAATACTCACAGGCCCCTGCCTTGGGAAGTCAGTGCCCACTATGTCTAGGGACCACAGGCCATGGCAATTTCTCCATGGCCACCACTAGAGTGAGGCACCCAGGCAGGGACACAGCCAGGCCCTGTGCCCTAGACCAACTGGCCAGTAGGTGTGGTTGGCCTGCCATGGGGATCCCTAAGGGAGTGGGTGACACATGGTGGGGAAGGGAAGTGGGGAGAGCCATGGAGGGACAGAGCTTCAGCCATCCCCCACCCTTAGGCATGAAGAGCCTGATTCTGGTGAGGAGGGAGACCCTGCAGCCGGGGAGGGGCAGCAGATGGCTGGCCATGAGCATCTGTGGCCTCAGCCTCTTCCAGCTTCCTTTGATTTGTCCTAGCTCACAGCTCCTCGCCCCCCCCGCTCCCCTCACCCCCCAGCCTCCTGCACACTCAATTTTGCATCCAAAAAACAGAAGCCCTAAATGCATCTAAGCTCTTCCTTCCTCAAATTCCTGCCTCCCCACCAGCCACCTACAAACTCTCCAGCCACGCCCACTCTCACCTCTTGCCATCAACATTTTTAAATAAACTTTCTATTTTAGAACAGTGTTAGATTTACAGAAAAGTTACAAAGATAGTATAGAGAGTTCCCATACACCCTGCACTCAGTTTTCCCTATTTTCAGGGAAGCAAGGGTGTTCCCTGCTGGCATGCCCTAGAGCCCACTCCCCTGGTCTCCGCACCCGTCACCCTTCCAGGTTATCTTCATCCCCTCATTTCTATAGGATGCAGACAGACATCTGTCCTCTGTCTCCTCCTCCCCGCATTTTCTCTGGCACTGCTCTGGCCAAGGTCACCAGTAACCCCTAACTTGCCAAACTCAGTGGACCCATAGTTCTCAGTTGCCCTGACTGGTGGGAGTGGGTGGCCACTGGTCACTGTCCTCTGAGAACCTGCCTCCTTTCAGCTGCTGTTGCCCCTGAAGCCCACACACTCAGCCTTGGTGGGTGGGAGGCTGGTGGGTTCCTCCTACCAGGACTTCGTGTCTGCCACCCCCAAACCGATCACCCTTCAAGTCACTGACAGGTCGGTCTCTCCCACCCCCAGAGCATGAGCTCCCCCTACACACAGCGGGAGGCTGGGCCAATGACTTCTGGATCCCCAGAGTGGAAAAGATGAGACAAGGGAGGACTGAGATCCAGAAACTGGGCCTTTGCTGTGTGACCTTGGCTGAAACACTTCCCCTCTCTGAGTTTCCTTTTGATAACCTGTTGTGAGAATAAAATGGGACTGGATGGAGGCTTAGAAGGAGAACCCCCTCCCTCCCTCCCTCCTCACAGCCCCACCCTCCTCCCTCCACCCCCACCTTCCTGTTCTGTGCTCCCCCACACCTCTCCGGGAAGGTTTTAGGGCTGAGGGGAGGCTGCAAGACTTTTTCAGCAAGAGCTGGTGGAGTCTTCTCTGGCCTCTTCCAACCTCTGCAAGATCCCACCAAGCACACACACAGATTGCCCCTTGATCATCACAAAGCTCATGGCTGTTCCCAGGTATCTGCCCCCGGCGCCGGGCCAGCCACGTTCATTCACATTAGCTCTGCTCCTGAGGAGTCTATTGCTAATGGTGTGACCTTGAGCTTGGTGCCTGACCTATCTTGAATCACTCATCTTCAACTGTAATATGGGGGTGATAGTGATGGTACCTACCTCCTAGGGTCAGTTTGAGGATTTTCAAAAAGTATCTAGGAAGTGCTTAAAATGAGACCAGGACATAGTAGGTGCTGTCAATGTGTTGATTGTTATTATTAGTTTACAGATGGGAATACTGAGGCCCAGAGAGAGTCAGTGACTTGCCCGGAGACACACAGCTTTGTGTCCCATTCAGACACAAAGTCTGAATGGGAACCCAGGTCTGTCCCAGGTCATTTCGGTACCCCACACACCCTCCCCGCTTCCCCTTGTAGCACCCCTATTTCTGCATGCAGGGGTGAGGTGGGCTGGAGTCTGATCAGAAGTTGCAGATGCTCCAGCTCTGAGGTCTGGGAGTGGAGTCGGGGGCGGGGCCCTGGGCATGAGGGGAGGAAGTGCCATGGACCTCCCTGCCAGGCCTGCTCCGCCTCCCGTTTTCTGGCAGACTTTCCACTTTCAGCTCTAAACAGGAGTATGTCGTCCAAGCCAGGAAGGGTCAGACCCAGTGACTACTTCAGAGACAGACACATGACCCAAGTTAGTCCAATGGGCGTTGGCCCTCGGACTTTCGCTGGCGCCATTAAGAAAGCCTCCCTTGCCGGGAGCGGTGGCTCACGCCTGCAATCCCAGCACTTTGGGAGGCCGAGGCGAGCAGATCACGAGGTCAAGAGCTCAAGATCATCCTGGCCAACATGGTGAAACCCTGTCTCTACTAAAAATACAAAAATTAGCTGGGCCTGGTGTTGCATGCTTGTAGTCCCAGCTACTCAGGAGGCTGAGGCAGGAGAAACGCTTGAATCCGGGAGGCGGAGGTTGCAGTGGGCTGAGATCACACCACTGCACTCCAGCCTGGGCCACAGGGCGAGACGCCATCTCAAAATAAATAAATAAATAAAAAATAAAAGAAAAAAGAAAAGAAAGGCTCCCTCTGTCCGCTGGGGCTGCTGAGCTGGCCAGGTATGGGCCTGGAGCTGCTGGGGGCCATCCTTGCCAACAGTGGGGAGAGCCTTCTGAGAATGAAGCCAGCATTGAGGACAGCAGAGCCGAGAGGTGGAGAGCATGAGAGAGGGTCCCGGTAGCCGCCATGGGTACCTGGATCCAGCCAGGTCTGAAGCCATTCACTTTTTCAGTTCAATTATCCCCGTTTTTGCTTACACTAGCTTGAATTGCAGCTGAGAGGCCTACCTAATCTGCCTCGTACCCAAGTAGTGGTCATTTTGTCAGTGGCAAGAAACTTGGGTGAAATCTCAGTTGATCTTCCAGTACTCCAAAAACCTGAGCGGGAGGGCCCAGGCTGGTCCTGGGGTCCTCACTGGCTCAGAAGTGGCTCCCCCCGCACAATCTCCCAAGTGGCTGGTGCTGGTGTCCTGAGTTCCCCCAGGCTGTCAGTCAGCGAGCTTGTTCTTGTTCCACCATGACCCCCGGAACCCTGGTCCCCTCCCCTCCTTCCTTTAAGGCCTCCGTTGGGAGGGGTTCTTCTTCCAGTCTCAGGGTCAGCTTTGGATTTAGGCAGTCTCAAGTTCAAAGGGCGACCTGTGGCCAGCCCTTTAGCCCAGGGCCTCAGCTCCCTTCCTGTGGCAGGGCCACCTGGAGAGTCTGAGGATGGTGTGTGTACCTTATGTGTGTACCAAGGCCATGTGGGGCCCTGCACTGAGGAGGCAGTGGCAGAATCATGAGGGCCTGCCTCTGTACTCTGGCAAAACAGTTCCTCGCCCTCCACCGCCTCTCTCCCTGCTGATCCAAATGAGCTCAAGCCATTCTGAGCTGGGAAAAACCCCTCCCTTGCCTGCTGCCTCTCCAGTTACCCACTCAGCCCCCTGCCATGGGCTCTGCCCCCTCCAAGGGTGCTAATGGCCTCTCCTGCCTGGCACGAAGACATTTACTTCCCGGTCCCCATGGCCTCCCCCCGCACAGCCTTGCACCCCAGCTTCGGAACACTGTGATCTTTGCAGCTTGTGGTTGCTATTATTATTTTTTTGAGACGGAGTCTCACTCTGTCACCCAGGCTGGAGTGCAGTGGCGCAATCTCAGCGCACCACAACCTCCACCTCCTGGGTTCAAGCAATTCTCCTGCCACAGCCTCCTGAGTAGCTGGGATTACAGGCGCCCGCCACCACGCCTGGCTAATTTTTGTATTTTTAGTAGAGATGAGGTTTCACCATGTTGGCCAGGCTGGTCTTGAACTCCTGACCTCAGGTGATCCACCCATCTCGGCCTTCCAAAGTGCTGGGATTACAGGTGTAAGCCACTGTGCCCAGCTGCTATTATTTGACAGATGGGGAAACCAAGGCTCAAAGAAGGGTTGTGTCTTGCCCGGAGGCACACAGCTGGTGGAGCGGCAAAGTCTGGATGGGAGCCCAGGTGATGGGGGACGCATGAGAGGAGCTGGGGAGTGCTGGTGGGTCAGCAGGGAACACTTTGGCCTTTGATCCTTGGAGTGGCAGTCCAGGCCATTCCATCTGGGTGACTCTGTACAAGTCACTGATCCTCTCTGAGCCTCAGTACCCTCATCTGAAACATGCCTGTAATAATGTGTTCTCAAAGGTGTTATGATGATTAAATGACATGTGATTGCATCATGTTTCCGGCCTACGGAGTGAGGGTGGCTGTTTCAAGGAGGTGCCTGGCACCTGCTCCTGCCCCACTCTAGGCCAGCTCCAGCTCCACGGTTCTGCATTTGCCCCTGCCCTTCACCCCACTCTCTCCTTACGGCCCCCTCCCAACTTCTCCCATCTTCTCCCACCATCCTCCAGCAGATGCCTCCCAGGCCTCTCCCGCCACCCACACCCTGGCCTCTCAGCTGAGCTTGGCGGTCATCTTGGCCCACCACAGCCAAACCTCTTAAAAGAGCTGTCTGCACTCTCTCCTTCCACATCCTCCCCACCCTCCCGCCTTGTTCCTCTTTAACCCTGGCAGCCGCCCCAGCTCGGCTAAACTGATCTGGCAAATGTCACCTTGTTGTGAAATGCCACGAGGGACTCCTCGGCCTTATCTGCCTGGTTGACATTGTCGGCAGCTTCTTGACACGCTCTTGCCCTGTCCAGGCTTCCTTGCCCCTTCCCTGGAGGTTGTTGTCCTCCTGCCCTGGCCGTGCTGTTCCTGCCCAGTGCTGTGATGCTGGTGTTCCGGCGTCTCACCTCCTCACTATGCTGGGCCCTGGCCGTCCTCATGCTGGATTTGGCCCACATTTGTTATTTTTCTAATAGGATTAAAAAAAAAATCTAATGTAGTTGCCAATATTCAAACACCAGATCTCACATACAAATCTGAACCTCTGGACGCTGTCGATAAACTGGCAGATCTGGCCGTGCTGCTCGGCGTTCCCAGACGGGCTCCCGGCTACAGTTACCATCCGTCCCTGTGCCCTTCTCGCTTGTATCCATGGGAACCGAGGACGGACGGAGAGGGCTTCACAGTTCAAGAGAAGTGGGAGAGAGCACATTTCCTTGTGGAAGTGAAAGCTACTCTGTGGTTAACATGCCAAGGATGTCCAGGTTGAAAGAAAACCACATCCCATCTGCTTGACCCCTGATGCTCCCTGCGTGGGCCCTGCTCCTGGCTCTCCCTAGGCCTCAGTGACCAGCATTTATGTTGACTGCCCTGAGCCTGTCTCAAATTCATTCCCGAATTGAAGTGGAGGTGAATCCAGACTTGAATCTTCAGCTGTTTCCTGAATGTGTCTCCTAAATGTCCCACAGGTGCCTCGTGATCATTCAACAAACACTTACTGGGCATCCACTATATGCCAGGCACTGACATAAAGTCACTCCGGCAAGGCATCATGAAAATAACACGAGGCTGGGTGCGGTGGCTCATGCCTGTAATCCCAGCACTTTGGGAGGCCGAGGCAGGCAGAAAAAAAAAAAAAACATGAAAATCACACACGAAGCTTTGCACTCATTCTCCAGGATTCCAAGAGAGAACACAGCAGAGACCCTTCTTGTCTCTCTCTCCCTTTTTTTTTTTTTTAAAAAAGAGACAGGGTTTCGCTTTGTTGCTCAGGCTGGAGGGCAGCTTACTGCTGCCTCAACCTCCTGGGCTCAAGTGATCCTCCCACCTCAGCCTCCCAAGTAGCTGAGACCACAAGAATGCACCACTAGGCCCAGCTGAATTTTTTTTTTTTTTTTTTGAGACAGTCTTGCTTTGTTGCCCGGGCTGGAGTGTAGTGGCGCAGTCTTGGCTCACTGCAACCTCTGTCTCCTGGGTTCCAGGGATTCTCCTGCCTCAGCCTTCTGAGTGGCTGGGATTACAGGCATGCACCACCACACCCGGCTAATTTTTGTATTTTTAGTAGAGACGGGGTTTCACCATGTTGGCCAGGCTGGTCTCAAACTACTGACCTCAGGTGATCTGCCCACCTCGGCCTCCCAAAGTGCCAGGATTACAGGTGTGAGCCACCACGCCTGGCCACATATATATATATATATATTTTTTTTTTTTTTTTTTTTTTTTTTTTTGAGACAGAGTCTCACTCTATTCCCCAGGCTGGAGTGCAGTGGCACGATCTCAAGCTCACTGTAACCTCAGCCTCCTGGGTTTAAGCGATTCTCCTGCCTCAGCCTCCCGAGTAGCTGAGATTACAGGCGTGTGCCACCATGCCTGGCTAATTTTTGTATTTTTAGTAGAGACAGGGCTTTATCGTGTTGGCCAGGCTGGTCTGGAACTCCTGACCTCAGGCGATCTGTCTGCCTTGACCTCCCAAAGTGCCGGGATTACAGGCGTGAACCAACGCGCCCAGCCCTGGCCTCTAATGTTTTAATATTTTGTAGAAACTGGGTCTCACCAGGCCGGGCGCAGCGGTTCACACCTGTAATCCCAGCATTTTGGGAGGCTGAGGCGGGCGGATCATGAGGTCAGGAGATCGAGACCATCCTGGCTAACATGGTGAAACCTTGTCTCTACTAACATACAAAAAAATTAGCTGGGCGTGGTGGCGCAAGCCTGTAGTCCCAGCTACTTGGGAGGCTGAGGCAGGGGAATCGCTTGAACCTGGGAGCTGGAGGTTACAGTGAGCTGAGATTGCACCACTGCACTCCAGCCTGGGCGACAGAGCAAGACTCCATCTCAAAAAAACAAAAAACAAAACAAAACAGGGTCTCACCATGTTGCCCAGGCTGGTCCTGAACTCCTAAGCTGGAGCCCTTCTCCAGCCTCAGCCTTCCAAAGTGCTGGGATTAGAGGTGTGAGTCACCGTGCCCAGCCCTTCTCGTCTCTTAAAGGGGACCGGGCCAAGGGCCTGTTGAGAAGACTAACAGATGTGTTGCAGGTCCTCATGCCAGGGACCACTGAAGGACGGGCAGCCATGGCACACTGAGCTGTCCTGGCCTACTTAAGGCTTCTCTTCAGTCTTTCCAGTCCAGGCTTGGGACAGGAGAGATGACAGTCCCTCTAGGGTGGTGCGGGCATCAGTGGGAGGCAGGAAGCCCCAGAGTGACGGCGCCACCACCAAGGTCTACAGTCCTCCAGGTACCGGGCAGAAGTCAGCTTCCCAGAGAGATGCTCGCTGGCAAATGGTACTCAGTGCCAGCCAGTCCTGGGACAGCGCACCCAGCTTCAGGCCTGGATTCTAGTCTGGCTCATGGCTCAATGACAGCGTGACCTTGGTCAAGTCTCCCAATCTTTCTGTGCCTCATCTAGAAAATAAGTGGGCCAGGCATGGTGGCTCACACCTGTAATGCCAGCACTTTGGGGCTAAGGAGGAAGAATTGCTTGAGCCCAGGAGTTTGAAACCAGCCCGGGCAACCTAGGGAGATCCTGTCTCTTAAAAACAAAAAAAATTAAAGTTAAAAAAGAAAAAATGAAATAAGTGATTGCAGACAACGGCGCAAGGTTGCTAGGAGGTTCGCGGGAGACAGCGTGAGCATGTCTGGTATAGGCCAGATGCCTGGCAACGCTCCTGTCCTTCTCTCCATCCCTCATCCCCCGGACCTGCCACTGGGTCCCATCTCTGCCATATTACTCTCTGCCCCTCCCTTGCCTGGCCCCCGCCCCTAGGCCCTGCTGCAACTCCTCCTCCCAGCCTCCCTCCTGCACTCCCTCAGTGTTCTGGGGCCTCTTTTCTGCAATACAACACAAACCTATTTCAAACTCTGCTGTGCCTTGCCCTGCCCTAACCTCAAGAGACAGCCCCAGCTCTACTGCCTGGCACTCGTGGCTTCCCAGGACCTAAGGGCTACCCTCTCCAGCCCTGCCTTCTTCTGTTTGGACGGCAGCTGGCCCCTCCAGGACTTTGCTGTGGCCATTGCTGTTTTCCACACCGTATCTCTGCAGATCCACCCCCAACTACAACTACCCTTCTTTTTTTTTTTTTTTTTTTTTTTTTGAAGCAGGGTCTCGCTCTGCCATCTGCCACCCAGGCTCGCGCGCAGTGGTGTGATCTCAGCTCACTGCAACCTCCACTTCCCAGGTTCAAGTGATTTTCCCGCCTCAGCCTCCTGAGTGGCTGGGATTACAGGCATGCCCCACCACACTCGGCTAATTTTTGTATTTTTACTAGAGACGCTGTTTCACCGTGTTGGCCATGAGGTCTCGAACTCCTGACCTCAAGCGATCTGCCCACCTTGGCCTTCCAAAGTGCTGGGATCACAGGCATGAGCCACCATGCTAACTACCCTTCCTAACTACCCTTCTCTAACCTCCAAGCCAGGCCAGACCAGTGGCTCCCCTCATGTCTGTGGGCACCGGGCCTGGCACATGGGGTCTCGCCTGTACCTCCTCCACTAACCATGAGCCCGCCATGTCTGCATCACGAGGACCACCCAGATGGCCAGCCCAAGAAAACCATCTTACTCTCCACCCTGCCACGTGCCTCAAATTCTGCCCCTCCGGATGCACAGGGGAAGGGCACACAAGACACAGCTGGGTACAGGTTTATTGTGGCACTGGAGGTGAAAGGGGGCTGGTGTGGCCAGCACCGGTGTGCTGTGGTGGTGGAGGGAGTGGGGTGGGAGGATAAGGTGGGTGGGGCAGGGCCCAGGGAGCCCCAGGCTCGGGCCAGGAGCCAGGGTTAAGGCAACCATTGCCAGCCCTACCCAGAAATGCAGGGCCACGACTCCAGGCCCCTCAGGCTAGGGGCCACCGCGGCAGCTGTGGGCAGAAGGGGCTCACACATGAGAGAAGGCATGGCTCTTGCAGAGAGGCCTGTCCTTCTTGGAGTAGAAGGTCTTTCCTTCCAGGTTGATCTGACATATCTAAGGACAGCAAAGGCCCAGTCACATGGGGTTGGGGGCAGCAGGAGAGGCCCCTTCCCAACTTCTCCTGCATCTCCTGGGGAATGAACAGAGGGCCGGTGGGCTTGGGGCTCAGTTCGAGGGGCGGGGCTCTCACCGCACAGACGAAGCAGGTGTCATGCCAGCTGAAGCCCAGGGCCTCCAGGAAGCGGTCCCCAGCGTCGATCTTGAAGTCACAGCCATGGCATTTCGTGCCAAACATCTTCTCATAGTCTGAGAATGGGGGCAGAGAGAAAGAGGACCTGGATTCATGCCTGCCCCATGCACCATCCCTCCTCACCCTCACTGGCCAGTGGGTACCTCGCTCGCAATAGGGCACGCCCTCCTCCATGTAGAAGGCCCTGTTCCGGATGGGCGTCTTGCAGGCAGCACAGGTAAAGCAGTGCACGTGCCAGGTCATCTTCAGGGCGTGCATGATCTCCTGGAAGGAGGTCCCAGTCACTCGGCAGGCTCAGGCCCCTCCTGCCCTGCCCTGGGTCACGGGAACACAGGAGGGCTGGCCGCAAGCCCTGTTCCTTCTCGCGGTAAACACTACATCTAACTGTTCAGGACTCCCACACCTCCATCTCCAACTCCAAGGTCTCTGAGTGGACGACCACTGCGCCTTCAGACTTGCCATGTCCAGCACTCAGTTCCTGATTCCCTCACCCCAAACCTCTCCTCCCACAGCCATCCCCATCACGCGGATGGCAACTCCATTCTCCTGTCTGCTGCAGCCAAACACACCCTCCTCTCACACCCCACACCAGGTCCACCAGGAAATCCAGTGGGGCCCACCCCCAAGGCACATCCAGATTCTGAGTGCTTCTCACAGCCTCCCTGAAGTGAGGTAAGCCATGGCCATCTGGCCCGTGGGACCACATAACAACTGGCCTACAAGCTCCTCTCTCTGATCCCAGCTGCCACAGCGTGCCCCTGCAACCCAAGACAGGCCTTCTCCCCCTGCATGAAACTGTGTACTGCTTCCCATTGCTCCCAGCAAGAGCCAAGCCCCATGCAGAGGCTGGAGGCCAGCAGGTCTGACCTCGTTCCCAACCGTCTCCGCCACTGCTCTCCCTTGCGTTCTCACCTTGCCTCTGCACACTGGCCTCTTGCCTGAAACTGGCACACCAGGCACACTCCTGTCCTGGGCTTGACACCGGCTGTCCCCTCTGCCTGGACTGCTCTGCCCCAGATATCTCTAGGCTCACCCCTCACCCCCTTCAAGTTTCTGCTCGAATGCAGTCTTCTCCATGAGGGCCCACTCTGACCACACCAGCAGCAGCCAGCTGCCTTCCCTGCACCACGCACCCCAGCACTTGTCGCTCTGCTCTTTCCTGTTTTCCGTAACGTGATCTAACATTACTTCCAGGCAACCTACTTATTGCGCTTATTGCTTACAGTCTGCCTCTCCCCTCTTCTTCCAGCCAAAATGTAAGGCCCAGAAGGGCAGGAAGCATCAACTGTTTTGTTAGCTGATCTATCCCCACAGTGCCTGGCCCTTTGTGGGTGAGTCGACTGGCCTCCGCAGGAGGTGGGAAGGGGCAGAGGCACAAGGGGCTGAGCTCTCCCTGGGCTGGGCTGTTCATCCCTAGGACCCTCGGGGCCAGCCGGGGCCAGCCAGGGCCAGCAGTATTCACATCTGGAGCAGGCAGAGGGCAGCATGGGGCCTCGAGGCGGTATGAGGGTCCAAGATGTGTGGGTCTGGCCAGACCTTGACCTTCTCAAGTCTTGGTTTCTTCCCTTGTGAACTGGGAAGCTAATCCCAGCCTTGTGAGGCTGTTATGAGGATGGCCCTGAGTTTAAATCCAGGGATCCCAGATCCAATCCCTGCAAGGGCCAAGTGGGGACTGTGTCACACGGAGGAGGACCTCTTCTTCTGGGAGCAGTACTACTGGTTCATTCAGGAATGCCTGCCTGGCTCAGGCTGAAATCTAGGTGTTAAAGAGAAATCTGCTGGGCGCAGTGGCTCACGTCTGTAATCCCAGTGCTTTGGGAGGCCAAGGTGGGAGGATCGCTCGAGGCCAGGAGTTCGAGACCAGCCTGGGCAACATAGCAAAACCTCATCTCTACAAAAAGATTTAAAAATCTGCTGAGCATGCTGGTGGGCACCTCTAGTCCTAGCTATTTGGGAGGCTGAGGTGGGAGGATCCTCTGAGCCCAGGAGATCAAGGCTGCAGTGAGCAGTGATCATGCCACTGCACTCCAGCCTGGGCAACAGAGCAAGACCCTATCATTATACATAAAGAAATAAAAAGCAGGAGATCTCACTTTCCCTCTGCCTCCCAAGTAGCTGGGACCACAGGTGCATGCCACCACACTTGGCTAATTTTCTAATTTTTTTTTTTTTGTAGAAACAGGGGTCTTGCTATGGTGCCCATGCTGGTCTTGAACTCCTGGGCTCAAGCAATCCTCCCACCTTGGCCTCCCAAAGTGCTGGGATTACAGGCATGAGCCACTGCATCATGCAGGCAAATCTTCTGATTTTTTAAATTGTTTGCTACTGATTTTAAAATGAAACAGTGTGGGCCAAGCAAGACATAAGTGTGGGGGACATGTAGCCTTCGGATGGTGCATTTCTGCCCTCCACAACACCTGTACCCCATCTTACATCTACCTTGCAACCGTGCCGGCCCTAGCATAGTGCCACCCTTCTCTTCAGTGAGGCCCAGAGAGAGCAACTAGCCCCTGCTCACACAGCCAGTAGATCACAGAAATAGGTTTTCTGCCCATGTCTGGCTGGCTCTTCTCACTGTCTGGTGTTGCCTGTTTTAGAGGAGCAGACAAGGTCACAGTGAAGGAACTTGGGCTTTGAGCTGGTGGGAGAGGGGGCTCTACCAGGGGTGTGGGCTGGTAGGGCAGGAGCCCAAGGCTGGGAGGCAGATTTCTCTTTCTTTTTTTCTTTTTGAGACAAGAGTCTCGCTCTGTCGCCCAGGCTGGAGTGCAGTGGCGCGATCTCGGCTCACTGCAAGCTCTGCCTCCCAGGTTCACGCCATTCTCCTGCCTCAGCCTCCCGAGTAGCTGGGACTACTCCACCATGCCCGGCCAATTTTTTTGTATTTTTAGTAGAGATGGGGTTTCACCGTGTTAGCCAGGATGGTCTCAATCTCCTGACCTCGTGATCCGCCCATCTCGGCCTCCCAAAGTGCTGGGATTACAGGTGTGAGCCACCGTGCCTGGCCCTTTTTTTTTTTTTTTTTTTTTTTTTTTTTTTTTTTTGCTGTCTCCCAGGCTGGAAGGCAGTGGCACAATCTTGGCTCACTGCAACCTCCACCTCTCAAGATCAAGCGATTCTCCTGCCTCAGCCTCCCAAGTAGCTGGGACTACAGGTGCGCCAGCACACCCAGCTAATTTTTTTATTTTTAGTAGAGACAGGGTTTCACCATATTGGCCAGGCTGGTCTTGAACTCCTGACCTCAGGTGATCTGCCCACCTCGACCTCCCAAAGTGCTGGGATACAAGCATCAGCCACTGCATCGGCCACTCTCCCATTCTTGCCGACTGATGGAACCCCCAGTTTTGCTGGACACATGGGTGCCCAAAATAAAGACTATATTTCCCAGCCTCCGTTGCCACTGGGTGTGGTCATGTGACTGGGTTCTGACCAACAGGATGAAAGCAGAGGTTCAGGTGGCAGCATCCTCTAAGGATGGACGCCATGGGGCTCTGTCCCCTTTCTTCTCCTTCCGACTTCCTGCTGGCTGGAAGGTGAGCATTTTGGCGGAGGCTGAAGTGTCATCTTGCACCATGAGTGGTAAGTAAGCAGGTGCTGCCAACAGTCAAGCAACAAGGCGGAGCCTGGGTCCACCAGATCAGTCCCAGACCACCCACCCCGGGATGTTTTTAGATGAGAAATAAGCCACCATTATTTTGAGTTTCCCACTGCTCGTGGTCAAGGTAAACCTCACTAATATGAACATCACCACACAGAGCTCTCTGGCTACTCCTGGCAGCCCTGGCTCTGGATCCAGAAATGAGGAGGACGCATGAGACAGAGCAGCTTCAGCGTGTCAAGTTGGCCGTTCTGTCATTTCACCAGGGCAGGGAGAGCCCAAAGTGGGAGTCAGGAGGGCCCAGGGCTTCTCCTGGCTTGGTCCTCCTGCTCTTTGCAGCCTTGGGCGGTTTCTGAGCAGGAACATGGTCATTTGTTAAGAGCATCCTGACTAATGCAGGGTGAGGCCAGTACAGCAGCCCATTTATTACGCTGGTAAGGACCCGGAGGGCTCACTCGGGGAGAGACCTGGACTGTGGGTTTCCCAGCAGCCCTCGTTCCCACTGACAGGCTTGGGACCACCTCCCCGCCAGCCAGCCCTACTCACGCCTGTAATCTTCTTCTTGCACTTGGCACAGCTGGGTGCATAGCGCACGTCATAGCATGGTGGGCAGAAGATGGCGCCCTTCTCCTCAAAGAAGCCACCCTCTTCCAGGACCTTCCCACACTGGCTACACACAAACTCCTCCGGGTGGTACGCGTGGCCCAGCGCCACCAGGTAGCGGCCCCTGCAGGGAGGCGAGAGCGGTCAGAGGGAGCACACGCAGAGAGGTGGGGGTCTTGGCCCCCTTCAGGTTGACTGACCACCCACCAGGAGGCCTTGGGAGGGACAGTTCATTCTCCCCATTTTCCACATAGGATAGAAGACAGGCTTGGGAAGTGACCGTGGCAGCCGTGAAGCTTACAGAGCCAGTCCGCCACACTGAACTGCTGGTGACAGGAGAGGCAGCTTTAGAGCAGGGAGGACCCCGGGAGGAAGGGCTGACGACTGGAGCCTCATAAAAGCTGAGCCGCCCCTGGGCAAACCCTGGAGCTGCCCTGTCCTGCTGGCCTGCCTGTTCTACCTGGCAAGAGCTGATAGAGTCGGCTGGGCACAGTGGCTCACACCTGTAGTCCCAGCACTTTGGGAGGCCAAGGCAGGCCTGAGATCACCTGAGGTGAGGAGTTTGAGACCAGCCTGGCCAACATGGTAAAACCCCGTCTCTACTAAAAATACAAAATTAGCCAGGCATGGTGGCGGGTGCCTGTAATCCCAGCTACTCAGGAGGCTGAGGCAGGAGAATCTCTTGAACCCAGGAGGCAGAGGTTGCAGTGAGCCGAGATCGCGCCACTGCACGCCAACGTGGGCAACACAGTGAGACTCTGTTTCAAAAAAAAAAAAAAAAGAGCTGACAGAGATGAGAGCAGGCCAGGCCTGCGAATTAGGAAGGCTCTAGAATCCGGCACGCTGATGCTGGGGGGTGTTTGATGCTGCTTGGCCCCACGGGGCAGTGCACAGAGGGAGTGGCTCCAGGCCTGTATGCTCTGAGAGCAGAGGGAGACAGAGAGCAGGAGGGAGGGGCAGACGCGCTGGGAGGGGGCAGGCCCCTCTTTGCCCAGAGAGCAGCAAAGGTAGGGGTGCAGCTTCAGCCTATGGTTGGCCCTTCGGCTATTTCGCCACGGCAGATGCTGCTAGCAGTTGTTGTGGGTGGGCTGGGGTAGGTAGCGTGGGATTAAGAATGGGAGGACCCAGCCCAGGTCCCTACTCCTACTCCAGCTGAGAACTGAATCCTTATTCCCCCCAGTCGCAGCTGAGGCAAGACAGGTGGGCAGACAGGTGGGGCTGGGCTGCAGGATGGGAAAGCCAGGGTCGGACAGGAACAGGCCACCCACCGGATGACCTTGTGGCACTGGTGACACACGGGAGTCTTGCCGTTGTTGCTGCCCCCTCCTGGCACCCCTCCGGCAGCTGCCTGCACAATGGAGGTGCGGCTCTGCAGCGGCGTGGGCGTGGCCGGCTGGCTGTGCCGGGTCAGCACTGTGCTCGTTTTGTCCGGGGCATAGCGCTCGGCAAACGCAGGGTCCACAGCCCAGGGCGGGCGGCTGGTAGGGCTGGGGGCGGTAGGGCCTGCCGGGGAAAGTGACTCTAAAGGGGTGCCCAGGGACCCCAAAGGACGGGGGTGGAGCCCCAGGCAGCTGAGAGAAGCCCACCACCCCCATGCCCCTGGAGGCTGCCCACCCTTGCCCAGGCCCGAGCCCACTCCCTCTCACCAGGCCAGGGCTCCTGGGGTGTAGATGAGGCTGGGGCTGGGGCTTCTGTCCTGGGCACCTGGCTGCAAGATCTGCCATTCAAGGCCCTGCATGGCTGAGCTTCCTGACATGGCCCCACCCCCCAACCTGGGTCCTGCTGGCCCCACGGGAGATGACTGGGGGCGTGGAAACTGCCGAGTTGGATTCCAGGTCCCACTGGGGTAGGGATGGGAAGGGCAGCTTCTCCTAGCAATGTCCAGTTAGCTGGTGTGCGGTCTCTAGCTGGGAGACGAGGCAGGGCTCCCGCTTCTGAGGCAGCTCCTGGGGTTCCCCTCATGCCAGGAAGCCATCTGTGATGGCAGGGCAGGGCCCCTTTGCCAGGTACCCCCTCCCACTGAAAACGAGGACGGCAGGGCCCAAACAGTCCGAACCACGAAACACCCCCACACCCCAAATGCAAACCAGGTCCACAAAGATAGAAGACAGGCAGAGCAAGCAGGGCTGAGAATGTTTATTCCATGCCCAAGGCAGCACAGACCTGGCAGACAGCAGTACCACAGGGCAAAGAGGGAAGGCAGTGTCAGATGAACCCAGGTGGGCGGCCAGGGCCAGGCCAGCAGGAGGCTCAGGCCAGGGGCACGAAAGGGGGGGTGAGGTAGGCAGAAGCTGGAGGCACTAAGGGGGTGCCCTGGGCAGGAGGAACAGAAAGAGGGAGGCAGAGAGGGCAGCCGGCTGGAGAGGGCCGGGCTACGACTGCACGTTGAGCACGTGGGCAGAGCGCTGGTGGTGCCAGTCCCGGAGGCGGGTGTAGCGTGGGCTCTGCAGCTCCAGGACATACTTTTCCCTGAGGGGCAGAGAGAGAGGGAGGAAGAAGTGGAAGGAAGGAGAGATGGAAGGGAGGCAGGGAGGGAGGAGGGAAGGAAGGAGGGAGGGAAGAAATGAAAGAAGGAAGGAAGGAGGAAGGGAAGGAAGGAAGGAAGGAAGGAAGGAAGGAAGGAAGGAAGGAAGGAAGGAAGGGAGAATTGAGAGCCCCAGCTGGGAGCCTCAGGAGTAGACACAGGGCAGTAGCTGGAATGGAAGAGGCAGGAGGTGGGAGAGGGGCTGGTGCCCGTCCCTGTACCTTGATTTCTTCAGGTGCTCCTCATCCGGGTCTTGCACTGAGAGGGCAGAGGCAGGCATTGACCAAAAAAGACACAGGGTCAGGGATCACGCCTGGGCTGGGGGCGAGGAAAGTACCCCCTGCCCTGGGCTGGCACTTACTGAACTCGGTGCCTGTGAGGTGGGCAAGGATGCGGAAGGAACGCGACTGGCCTGTCCCCGGCCGCGGCCGCCAGTCCTCTGTGTTCTCCATCAGCCGCTGCTTGCTGGCATCTGGGACCAGCGGTCGGAGCGGCTGTCTGTGGGGAGGGTGTGGCTCAGAACCCCACACTGGGGGTGGGCGGTGGGGGCAGCCCCTCCCAGGATTTGGTGCATGTGGGTTTGGGTTACAGTGATGGGAGGGAGTGGGTAAGGGTGAGGCCAGGAGCCCTGCTGGGCGGGTAGGTGAGAGGACAGGAGGGCGAAGTGGAGAGGAGGGCAGCCAGGGTGGGGAGGGGCCGCCACCCAGAGTGCCAAAAGGAAGAAGAAAGGCACAGGCAGAGGGGGGCTCACTGACTTGTCAGGGGTCTGCACCTGTGAAGGAAATAAGACAGACAGACAGATAAAGGGACAAAGGGACAGACACAGGAGAGGAAGAAAGACGGGGAGGGGTCAGAACAGCCGGGGACAAGGCGGCACTGAGTGTCTGGGGCTCAGCTGGCCCGACACCACAACCCAACCCCCAGCCGCCAGCAGGGGGCGCGGCGTCATTCAGAGACCCCTCCCCAGGGCGGTGCCCTGCAAGGCGCCACAGCCTCGGGAGGGGCCCTGTGCCTGCAGCCCCACCCCGGCCGCCAGGGGGCGCTGCCGCACGGTTCCGCCGGGCTGGGGCGCAGCACAGACTGAGCAGCAGCGGGCAGCGGGCGTGGGGCCACAGTGGGCCTGATGGCGTGGGCGCGGGCGGGCAGGGGCCGACGTACCCATTCTGCTGCGGGGCGCTGTCAGCGGGCGGGGGCGCCCCAAAGGGCCGGGCCGTCTTGTTGAGGGAGACGCTGGGTGCAAAGGTGTACCGCGGAGGGTCCGCGGCGGGGGCGGAGGCCTGGGCAGAGACACAGCCGGGCAGGGCGGGCGGGCAGGGTAAGGTGGGGGCCTGGGTGGAAGTGGGGCGCCTGCAGCAGAGGACAGCGGCAGCTCCAGCCCCCCACCCCCACCCCACCCCCTACATCTATTTGGAGGCTACGGGGAGAGGACGACTCAGGTTTCAAGGGGCCCATTTGGGAGTGGCGATCTCAGTCCACGCAGGACCGAGGGCTGACCGAGTGCGGGCGAGCACGCAGCGCCGGCGGCGGGAGGCAGCAGGCGGACAGACAGGCGGACAGACAGGCGGACATGCGTGGTGCCAGGACCGTGCAGCAGCCCCTGGCTCAACTCCAGGGCCCTAGACCCGCCTTAGCTCCGGTTTCTGCCCTCCACTCCCGGCCAGGGATTGGGGTACCGAGAATGTGCCAGGAGGGCGAGCAGGCCTGGCCGTCCAAGCCCACACCGCCCACCGCCCGGATGTCCCGGCCAGCCTCGTACCTTCTGCGGTTTGCTCTGAACCGGCTGGGCCCTGGAGGAGAAGGAAAGCGTGACAGCGGGCCGGGCCCGCAGGGATCCCCACTGCCAGCGCGGGCGCACCCATCCATGTCCACCCGCATACCTGCTGAGGCCCAGGCTGAGGCGCTCCCCGCAGGCCCGGATCTTGTTCTGAGCTTCGATGTGTGTGAGGCTACCCGCATTCTCGCCATCGATGCTCAGCACCCAGTCACCCACGGCCACTCCGGCCTGCGCCGCTTTGCCCCCAGGAGTGAGCTGTGGAGAGAGAAGCAAAGTGACCGAGGCCCTGGACCCTGCAGACCCAAGCCAGGCTGACGGTGGTAACACTGCCCCACCCAAAGCTGTCCCACTTCCAGAACCCAGAGAGCTCTTCATTCAACATAGTTCTAGGCAGCTGCTGGACACTAAAGCAACCCAGGAGGTGGTGGCGCTCACCTGAGCTTCACAATTTCCCAGTCACACTGCTTATTTATTCACTGCCAGACCCTCTCCCTCAGGTGGTGCTCACCTGAGCTTCCCCAGTCACGATGCTTATCTATTCACCGCCACCACCCTCCCCCACAGTCCAGAAATTGCTATGATGTCCACAAACAGCCACGCTCAGGCTAAAGCCCAAGTGTTTCAGGAGGACCATTGCCTTTTGAGGCTCCTGCTGGCCTCCTGCCCAGGCCACTCCACCTACCAGATATGCCCTCTGGCCCATGCAGGGGGCAGCTTCCTCCCCGAAACCACCGGGGGCTCTTATGGACCTCTCACCCCCCAGCACCCTGTCGGGGGCCATCTATAGGGGTCTGCTGGGACCCTTTGAGAGCCAGGAACAGGCCCTGTTATCTCCCGGTTCCCTGTGAACACTGCCTGAATGGGACCTAAGTTGACAGCTGGGACTTCGTAGGCCATACATGGCTGTCACTCCCAAGCCCTCGACTGCCAATTTCCCCTGACCCCAATCCTTCAGGCTCTTGAGCTGGGAGTCCCTGGTTCCTGTGGCAATGAGTAGAGACAGTAGGCTGGGAGAAATGGCTGCCACCAGCATGAGCTGAGACCATCAGGAATGACTTTGAGGAAGCGGTGGGCCTCGGTAAAGGAGAATGGCGTGTGCTGCCTAGCGGGTGAGAGTTCACTTACGATGGCTTTGAATGCCAGGGGAAGGGACCAGGACTTGGCTTTGAAGGTAGAGGGGCTACTGGCAGTTTTAATGTCTGGGATTGGGTATCTCCCAGGCCCTGAGAGGGTGACCCTGATAAACCCCTTCCAGGCCTCTAGCCCAGCCCCAGCAACACAGGCAGGGCAGCTTGACTGGGTCCAAGCCTAAGGGACCACCCAGCCATCTGGCAAGAGGCCTGGCACTGCATCAAGTAGGCTTTTGTGAGGCAGTGCTGGAAGACAATTTCACTGGGTGGGGGGGATCTGGGGGGGTCCAGGCTGCCAGTGGCCCCAGGAGGCTCCTCAGGTGGGTCAGTGCACAGACTGAGCTGAGGCAGGGAGAGGGGAGGCAAGAGGTTTCAGAGAGATGTCAGAGGGCAGGGCAGCCAGGCACAGAGCTTGACAGCACTGGGAAAAGAAAGGCGAGCTGGGCTCAACATGACCTCTTGCTTGCGTAGGAGGTCAGAAGGCTAAGAGAGCTCGGCGGCCCCTTCCTCACTCGCTAGATAAGAAGACTTGCTTCAGTTTATTGAGCACCAACTATGCTACATATTGACACTGAATCTTCCAACAACCTTGTGGAGTAATCTGGGATTTTACCCATTTTGCACTTGCAAATGTACACAGAGAGGTTAAACAACTTGCCTCAAGTCACCCAGCTAGTAAGAGGCAGAGCCAGGAAGTGTCTCTGACCCTAAGGCTCCACCACTGTGGGCCACCTCTGCTGAGCATGGGGGCCCAACTGAGGGGTCAGCCCACCTGGAGACACCCTGAGCCACTCCCTCACCTTTAGTTCAATCCAACTAAATCAACCCCTTATACTGTGTATGGGGAAGTGACACCCCAGAGGGGAAGTGACTTACTCAAGGTCATGGTGAGTCAGTAGAAGGGAAACCTGGCCCAGCCACTCCCTGCCCACAGGGCTGGCTCCTGGGAGCTGTGGGCTGAGCCCGAGGTGGGGGTCTTGGGGTGCAGCTAGCTGGCTCCTGGAGAGGGGGTGGGGGGCGGGGACGGCTTCCCTTCCCAGAGTGAGGAGGGCAGGAAGCACAGAGGATGAGGGGTGTTCAGAGCGTGGGGAGGGCAGCAGGAGAGCAGAAGACAGCGCTGGGCGGGTGGCTGGAGAGAGGCAGGGAGGGGCTCAAGCCAGGGGCAGGGTAAGGCCAGAGGAACCAAGGAGGGAAAAAGCCAGGGGGCTGGACCCTGCATGAGGTGGGGGTGAGTCAGCCTGAGCAGCCCAGCCCCCCAGTCCCAGACGTTACCTCATCTCCCAGGCCTGGGCCCACAGCCAGCCCTTGCCCCTCCCACCTCCCTCCATTCTGGGGTCAGGGGAGGGGGAGGGGGCTGGCCTAACTCAGAAAAGCCCACCTCACCCACCCATGTGGGCCCAGGTCCAACTCCAGGGCTGGGATCAGCTAGTGGCCCCGCCCACATGCCAGGGATGCTGACCAGGGAGCTGGAGCCCGGAGTGCCCCCAACAGGCCATATCTGAAAGTCATCTCCATCAGGGAAGAAACTGAGGTTCAGGCTCCCCAGACACACTGGGCCAGCACTTTCCCAGGGAGCAGGACGTCAGGTAGGTTTCAGGGCTGTGTGAGGGCTATGTAGTGGGACGTGTGTCATAGGGCAACCACTGCCTCACTACCCTGCTGGCGGGGCAGGTTCCAGGAGAATGCCATCAAAGGACCCCTGAGAAGAGCACTGCTGGCCTGCCCACCCTAACCCCCACGCCCAGCTCCTACAGACAGACTCCAGCTTGAGCCCCTCCTCAGGCCACGACCCTCTGGGCCCCTCCAGGCTGGGCTTGCCTTGGGCTTCCTGACAACAGCTGCCTGCCCACCCGGCGCCTGGGTGGGTCTCTTGGGGCAGGCGGATATAGGGGCAGGAAGTCCCCACCCCCTCCTGACCCCCAGGCCAGTCAGAGATGCCAGCCGACAGGCTGGCCTCACCCACTCTGGGCAGGCAATTTGTTGTGTCTCACAACTGGACCATATAGCTGGAGCTGCAGCCTGGTGACCAGCTGAGAGGCCCACCAGTGGGGTTCAGGGGGCCAGGCCTAGGCCAGCCCTTTTCAGCTCTGCAGACCGCAGCCACTGTTGGCCATCCCAGCGTGGGGCTGCATTCTTGGGCTTATAAGGCAATCCCCCTGCTACAGGGAGGAGCCAGCCTCCAGCTCCACCCACACCAGGGCAGGCTCTTGGAAGCTGAAGTTAAGCCCCTAGAATGGAGCCCTGTCCTACACTTCTGCTTGGGGTCAAAGGCCACCACATCCTGAATGGGAACAGTGGATGTGGGTCCTTACATAGGCTGGGGAGAGACCCCTTCTACCCACAAAAAATGTACGCCATGCTGTGCCTCAATTCCAATCCCTGCTTCACCATGGACTCGATGAGCGAGCCCCGCCACCTCTCCATGAGTTCTTCTCTCATCTGGAAAAACGGGATGAGGATTGCTATTCCCTGGGCGGCAGTGAGGCTGAAGTGAAATCCTATAGTCACAGTGTCCTGCCTGGGGCCTGGCTCCAAGCATTGCCACCTCAAGTTTAGATACCTCCTGAAATGTTAGGCTCCCATCCTGCACAATGAGCCTCCCTCCAGCCCTCAGAGGTGGCCACAGGAGCTTGGGAGAACAGCATCGGGTACAGTGCAGGGCTGGAGAAGCCTGGGTGCTCCCTCCCAGTATCCACCTCATTGGGAGTCCTTGTGGCAGGCAGGTACCACTACATCTCCGGACCTAGACATCTCCTGGCCTGCTGGCCCCTGACCAGCTCCTGTTAGGACTCCCCCCATCACCCTCTGGAGACCTAAGCACCGAAAGACCGCTGGGGGAGCCCCCTCCCCAAACCTAGGCTCACCCGGGAAATGGAGAGGGGCACATTGAAGTCCTTGCCCCCTTGCAGCCGGAAGCCCCAAGGTGCTGGCCCCTCCAGCACTACTTTGAAGGAATCCATGATGCCGGCTCCTGAGAGGAGAGAAGAGAAGGTGAGTGGCCAGCATGGTGGGCGGGCAGGCAGGCAGGCCGGGCCAGCTCAGGATACCAGCCTTGGACAGGGGCCAGGCAGGCACGGGCAGCCCCTGAGCACGCCCAAGCCATAGGAGGCAGGTATTTTGTCAGGCTGGCCTGGGCTGCTGGCTGGCGGACCTCACTTTGGAAAGACAGGAGCAGCCCCCCTCCCCTTGGGACTGGAACGGTGAGGGGTGCCTGAATCCAGGCTTGAGGTTCTTTGCAACCAGGGGTGGGCCGAGGGACTAAACTGGCGCGGCCTCCCCCCAAGCCAGCCTGGAGCCTCGGGCGGCCGGGTGAGTCAGGGGCCGGCTCTCCTCTCCCCCGCCCCCAGGTCCCGGCAGGCAGGCCGCGGCTGGAGCCTGCTCGGACTATATAAGGCGTGTAAGCTGACACTGTGCGGAGAGCCAGCGGAGGGAGCACACGGGGGCTTGGGACGCGAGGGGGGGGGGAGGGGAGGGGAGGGGAGGGGAGGGGAGGGAGGCGGCTGCAGCGGATCCTCCTAGCCATTCCGGGACCAGTCGAGGCTGCTGGGAGCCAGGGCGGGACCCCTGGGTGCTGAAGAAGGGGAAGGCGGGAGTGGGGTGCGGCCCCTGTGGAGACAGATGGGGGCTGGGACCCTCAAGCATAGCTTGGAGGGGGATCCTTCCCCGAGCCCAGTGGGGGGTGGTGCCTCCCACACAGAACTGCTCCCACACCGACGTGACTCAGTTTCCCCTTAGTCCCCCGCCCGGGCCCCATGCATTAGACTGGCCCCGGCCGCAGGAAGCGGCGCAGGCGCCAATCGGCCCCGCCGCAGCCGGCTTAGCGGCAGGAAGGCGGGGGCGGGGGCGGAGGCAGGGGCCAGGGCCAGCGGGAGGAAGCACAGCCTGGACCACGACCCCCAGTGCCCTTTGTGGTCCTCAGCAGGCCCCGGGCGCCCGCCTGGTGCAGCCCAAGACGCCCCGCGCGGTCGTCGATACCTGCTTGGCCCGGCCAGGGCGCTGCTCTGCGTCGGGCTCCAGGGAGCCTCGTTGGGATCGGCCGCCAGTGTTCTGACCCCGCCCCCACAGCCACCCTCCACTTTGAGCGCGCGGACGGGGGCGGGGCACCAGGCCACGCCCTCGTCGCGACCACGCCCACTAGACTTTCTCCGCTGGTGGAAAGCCCCACCCAGCTCTTCCGTCCTGCCCAATCACCAAGTCCCGTCGGGCTTAGAGCTGAGAGGCCTCGCCGACCCGGGCCCTGCAACGGGGCGGAGTCGGGAGGGGGCCGGGGCTGCGGGTCGCCTCCTTAGGGAAGCGCTGCCTCGCCCAGTCCCTCGCACCGCCCGCTGGCGGAGGGAGAGGAAAGCGGACCTTCAAACCAGACCGACCTGGGACATAGTAGTCTCTGAACCTTAGTTTGCTACTCCGAAAAATGGGACGATCATACTCGCCTCGCAGGGCTGCCGCGAGTGTCGGTATCGTAGGCGCAACCCTCGGGGACTGCAGAATCTGTAAATCAGAGGGGCTGGGGGAGACAAGTTGAGGGGGACAGGGGCGTTTAAAGCTAGAGTTGCGCAACGCTCTGCCGAAGGCAGGAAAACAGGGCAGGAGCGGACGCCGGATGTCCCTGCAACCCCGAGCCGACCCGCGCACCGTCGGAAGCGCCGCGTCCCGCTCCACCTTGGCCAGAGCGGACTGCGCCGCCTGGGAGGCGTCCTCAGAGTCCCGGCCCCGCGTTCAGCCCAGGCACTAGGGCCGGCGGCACGGACACTGAGCACATGCGGGTGTCGGGGTGAGGGAAGGGGCGTCCACCCTCCACTCGCTTGGTGGTCCCGGCCCATCACCTCCTCCTAGGACAGAGTCGCTGCAGTTCTCCCCTCTCCATCCACAGTCATCACACCCACCCTGTTCTGCACAAACCGCCGTGAGAGTTCTCGTCGTTAAAGACCTTCTCTTGACCCCACATCCCTCTCCAGCTACTACCCTTTAATTCTCCTCTCGAGAGTAAAATTCCTCCAGGGAGTTGTCTGTTTATCGCGTCTCCACTTGCTTTCCTTCAGTTATCTCTTGAAGCCATGCCAGGCGGGCTCTTGTCCGCACCCGTCCCCTGAGATCTCTCTTCTCAAGGTCCCCTGTGGCCTGGAGGCCATGGGGCCATGGAATCCGTGGTGGTTAAGTTTCATCCTGCCCTGCCTAGGGGCAGCACTGGTCCAGGTTGATCCTTTTCCGCGAAACACCCTTTTTCCCTGGCTTCACAGCTTCCCCCTGCCCCACTGGCCCCTCCTTCCCATCCTCCTCTGCCTCTGGCCTTGGCCATCTGATGTCGCCTCTCTTTATGCTCACCCCCTGAGACCCCGTACTGTCCTGTGGCTTTCAACACCACCTATATGCAAAGGCATCCCATGTTTCATGGCCAGCCTGACCTCTCCCCAGGAACTCTAACTCCATTATCCAAAACCCTGCCTAGATGTTTACTAGATCAGGGGTCCCCAACTCCCCGTTTGTGGCCTGTTAGGAACTGGGCTGCACAGCAGAAGGTGAGCAGCGGCAAGCCAGAGAAGCTGAGTGCAGCGGCAGCATTAGACTCCCATAGGAGCGTGAACCCTATTGTGAACTGTGCATGCGAGGGATCTAGGTTGCTCATTCCTTATGAGAATCTAATGATAAATGGGCCGGGTGCAGTGGTTCACGCCTGTAACCCCAGCACTTTGGGAGGTTGAGGCGGGGGAGGATCACTTGAGGTCAGGAGTTCGAGACCATCCTGGCCAATATGGTGAAACCCCGTCTCTACTAAAAATACAAAAATTAGCTGGGCGTGGTGGCGCATATGCCTATAATCCCAGCTACTTGAGAGGCTGAGGCAGGAGAATGACTTGAACCTGGGCAGCAGAGGTTGTAGTGAGCCAAGATGGCTCCACTGCACTCCAGTGTGGGTGACAGAGCGAGACTCTATCTCAAAAAAAAAAAAAAAAAAAGAGTCTAATGATAAATGTACTGCACTCGAACCACCCTGAAACCATCCCCACCCCACCCCCAGTCTGTGGAAAAATTGTCTTCCATGAAAGCGGTCCCTTCTGCCAAAAAGGTTGGGGAACCACTGTACTAGGTATCTCAGACCATCATGGCCCAATTCAAACTTGTGCCTTTCCCACCTTCCTAACTCCTTCCTCACTTCAAGAAGTGCCACCAACATTTATCCAACTGGTTCAGCAGAAACGATGAAGTTATCCTTTCTCTTCTGTCCTCCCCCAGATTCTGCAAATTCCACCTTCAACATGTTCACATCTAACCGCTGCTGCCACCATTGTCCCAGCCACTGCCATTTTGTGCCTGCGCCCCTGTAACGGTCTCCTAACGGGCATCCCTGCTTTCACCCTTGCCCCTTCCAGAGTCTTCACGAAGCAGCCAAAGTGATATTTTTAAAGCCAGAATCACAGCACCATGTCACTCTCAGCTTTTAGCATTCCAGTGGGCTCATATTGCACTCAAAATAAAACTGAAGTCCTTAAGACCTACAGAATATGAATAAACTGGGTCTGACTCCTACCACTCGCTCCCTCCACTCCAGCCACCCTGACCTCCTCACTCACATTTCCTCCAGCAGGCCAAGCATATTTCTGCCTCAGGGCCTCTCCACTTGCCAGTTCCCCTGCTTGAAACACTTTTCTTTTTTTTTCTTTTTTCTTTTCTTTTTTTTTTTTGAGACGGAGTCTCGCTCTGTCATCCAGGCTGGAGTGCAGTGGTGTGATCTCGGCTTGCTGCAACCTCTGCCTCCCACGTTCAAGTGATTCTCCTGCCTCAACCTCCCGAGTAGCTGGGACTACAGGCATGAACCACCATGCCCGGATAATTTTTATATGTTTAGTAGAGATGGGGTTTCTCCATGTTGGTCAGGCTGCTCTCAAACTCCTGACCTCCAGCGATCCACCTGCCTTGGCCTCCCAAAGTGCTGGGATTACAGGCGTGAGCCACCATGCCCGGTGCCCGGCCCTTGAAACACTTCTCCAGATATCTCAGCAACAGGTTTCCAACTTTATTTAGGTCTCTGCTCAGATGTGGCCTCCTCCCAGGGCCTTTCCTGATCACAGCTGAAACAGCAATCCCTGGATGCCTCACCCGCATCACACACTAGGCCCTCCCTCTGCTTTATTTTTCCCCATAGCATCTCCATCATCTCACATTCTGTATGAAATGTTTGTTTATTTAAGAATCCCACAGCACCAGAGACATCTGGATGTGGAAAAGGCATCTCCAGATTCCATGTGTGGAGGGAGATGGGGGAATGGGGACTCTCTGCGGTGCTCTTTCCAGGGTGTGTTCTTTGTTAGGACAATGAAGACACACAGCTAATGTGTCTTATCTAACATTTCCCCAGGGCCAGCACACAGTGGATGTGAATGAACACACGAAGAAAGGAAGGATTGACAAAGTGAAACAGCAAATGAGCAAAGGAAGAGGCGGCAGCCTGGGGGTCCTGGCAGTCCTCCAGCAGAGAGGACCCCAGGCTCCCATTCCTTGGGCTGGTGCAAGGCTCTGGTCTGTGTCCCCTGGGGAGCCTCCCAGCACAGGCAGCCCCTGCGTAGCAACTGGACCTGGACAAGGACCCAGCGCCCTCTGGTGGCCGAGACTCCTGAGGCTCCAGGCCAGGCCTCTAGCGTCCTGGTGGTTTCCAAGGACTTTCTTTCCCACAGTCCCCTTGGAATATCACAGAAATCCCTAGGAAACAAAGCAGCTCAGATTTGTAATGAAGGAAAGGATGCCATGCTGGGTCCCCAGAGTCCTGGGTTCTGGTTCTAGCCATGCCCCTGACTCTCTGGGTGACCTTCAGCGTGTCCTGGGATTTGAGCTGCCAAGGGCTGGGCTTGGGCTTGCCACTGTAGGGAGTGGGGGTGCCTGCAGCAGCACCTCGACTGCCCGCCTCTTGGCCTCAGCTTGCTCTAAGACCTTACCCATCAGGAAGTGCTTGCATGAATAAGTGAGCCAAAATCTTCCTCCCTATGGCTCTAGCATCCCTCCAGGCTTTGCATTCTGTGTCCACACACATCCTGGAAGAACACCAGAGTCTCCATTCCCCCAACCCCCTTTCACCCATGGGATCTGGAGATGTCTTTTCCACATCCAGATGTCTCGTGTGCAGTGGGATTCCTAAATCTGGAGCTCAGGGGGAGGTGTGCACTGAAGACAGACCTTCGGGGTCATTAGCACCTAGAGGGTCTGTGACACCTGGAGAATGACTGGCTTGCTGAGGCCAGTGGTTCCCAGCCTAGGCTGCATACTACAATCATCCGGAAATCCAGTGAGCGTGGATGCCCAGAACCCACCTACCAGACTGATGAAATCAGAGCCCCTGCGTGTGGGCCCAGGCATGGGCATTTGATTTTTAAAATTTTTTATTTTCTTGGTAGATCACTCACAGAACATGCATGGACATTTTTACAGGCTTTCAGGAGATTCTTTGTGTAGCAGGGTTGAGCTACACTACATCTGAGCCTAGGACCCTGGGAAGAACTCAGAGAAGGCAGCAGTAGAGGCTGGGAAGGAGATTGTTATGAGGTAGGAGGAATAGCAAGTAACGGGGGTGTTTCAAGAACCAGAGCCGAGTGCTGCTGAGAAGTCAAAGTCCTTGTTGCTTTTGTTTTGGAGAATAAGGTTGGTGACTCTAATAAAAGCCACATAATGGCATCATGGGGATGAAGGAGAGTTAATTGAGGGGAGAATGGGGGTGAGAAAGTGGAAATGAAAGTAATCAACAACTCTTTTGAACAGTTTTTGCTGTGAAGAGGAACAGAGAAACAGAGGTGGCCGAAGAGGAATGTGAGGTCAAGGGAAGGTTTAAAATGTGAAATTACAGAGCATGTTTGCGTGTGGCTGGAAAAGCTGCTGGTAGGATGAATGGGCGCAGGAGAGAGTGGGGACAGCTCAATTTTCCAAGCTCTGAGGTGAAAGGAGCCGGGATCAGAGCACAGCTGGGGACAGACACTGTTTCTACTGTAGGGGTAGGAAGAAGACAGATGGATGCCAGTACACTTGCAGATACGGTGGGAGAGCCCGACCTGTTTCCCCAATATGCCTGTGAGGAGACATTGGGTGGGGATAGACAGGAGGTTCTGGGGAGGAGAAAAGCTGCCCTACTAGGGAACAGGGTCTCTTGTGGCAGGGAGTGCCTGCCTTGCACTGTTAAGAAGGATGCAGGCAGTCTGCTTAAATGGATTTCTCTGGCTGTGGGCAGCTGTGTGCAGGCACTGAGGAGGTCTGGGCTCGCCCAAGGCCGGGGACTTTGCCAGACCAGTAAGATGAAACGAGAGAGAACAGGGGGAAGGGACTATGGAGAACAAAGAGGGGATGGTGGGCAGAGGCCTCGAAGAGCCAGAAAAGGGTCCCTGCAGGTCGACATGCCTAGGCAGGGGCGGTACTGGCCGCACTAAAGGAAGTGAGCTGGAAGGAGGTGGCGGCCAGAGGATGAGGCTTGGACAGGAGAGAGCAAAAATTGTGTGTCCGTCATGAAAATGAGGTTCAGGATGTGCCAAGGGTGTGTGCAGCTGAGGTGGAGTTGCGGTGAGGGGCTGGGCAGTCAGAGCCCTGGAGGCATGACGCTTGCGTGCGTGGCTGGCTCCTAGGATGGCGCCAGGAGCAGGAGCAGAGGAGGGAACGCAGCATGGAAGTCTTCAGGAAACTTCTCTCCCCCTGGAATGTCGGCTCCCGGAGAACAGGACCAAGGCTGTCCTGAACACGGCTGTGTCCCCCAGCGCCTGGCACTGAGTAGGCACGCAGCAAACTCTCATCAAGGATTATGCCTGATACGTCATCGGTTCTCTCTCCTTTACAGATGAGGAGACTGACGCCTGGGGTTCCCAGAAGTATCTGCAAATTGTTGGAGTTTCAGCAGGGAACAAGTGTTTTGGACGAGGGTGTCTCTGAAATCCCTTCCACCTGCACCCCGCCCCCACTGCCTCCTCCCAGCTCGGGCCTCCGGGTCTCCAGTTGGGCCCTCATGTTGCTCCTTCCTGAGTCTGACAAGTAAGCCTCACAGCTCCCTCCGCCTGCCTCTTCGTGTCACTCGGCCGTGCAGAGCAACATGGAGTCCTAATGATTTCCATCCCGTCTGTCTGCTGCAGTGGGTTTGAGCCCACGGGTGGCAGGTAAGGCCCAGGTCACCTGTGCCCCTGGAACCGGCACAGGGTGCTTGTGTTGGCCGCAATGAACGTGGGCAGGGGCGTGTGCCGTGAGTGCCCCTGCCGGGAGCTGCTCTGAGCTTTATTATCTGTGAGTCTGCACACTATTCATGAGGAGGGCAGGGCAGGGCTGAGGTCCTCCACAGGCGGCCTGCCTTGTTCCTGCAGGCCAGGGTGGACACAGGCGTGTGTCTGCATGGGCCCAATGTTTGCCCACCAGCCCACCCTCCTGTCCCAGGGGGAGCACCTCTCCCCTCTGGCCACCACTCTGCTGGGCGTTCAGGGCCGGTCACAAGGGGCTGGGCCCTTCCTCCGCTCACGACTCAGCAGGGTCACCAGCTTGGCCTTGAAACCTGCCTGAGGGTCAGGGCGGCCTGTGCCCTCCACCTGATCCAGCTCCAGCAGCCGCCGGTACTGGGCCTCCAGGGTACTGTCGTTGGCCGGGCCGGGCCAGCTCAAGTCCTGGCCGTTGTGGTAGATGGGACTGGTTGTGGGGCTGCGGCTGCCGGGGCCCTCGTGCGGCTCAGGTTCCCCACCGTGCAGCGTGGGGCTGGCCTCCAGCACACACAGGTTCTCATAGAGGTGCTCATTGCCTGGGGGCCCACTGGCACGCTTGCACACTGAAGCGTAGAGCCCGGACGCCAGATCGTTGGGCTCCGGGCCTAGCAGTAGCGGCAGGCTCTGGGGTCCGGGCTCGGCCAGGTGCATTTTCCTGGACGTGGGTGGCTCAGGTCCTGGTGGCATCTCCCGAAGCTCTCCGGGGGTGTCCAGGGAGGGCAGAGAGGTGGCCCGTGGCAGGGGGCAGGGCTGGGGCCTGGTCAGCTCTGGCAGCCGCTCCCGCTGGCGGGCGATGGCCCCGGCCACAGCCCTGCACAGGTCAGGGGCACAGGGGGTGCTGAAGGCAAAGAGGCCCTCACCCGAGTGGCAGCGACGGCCGGCCTCAAAGGAGAACACGCCCTGGGCACAGGGCACACGGGTGGGGATTAGCAGGAGGGTCCAGGGTGTCAGCCCCTCACCCTTTCCCACCCCTGCACCTCACCTTGTCGGAGCCGAACTTGCGCAGGAAGTGGTAGGGCCAGCTGTAGAGGGCCTGGGTGCCCTTGGCCTCCCTCAGCTGGATGGCGTCTGGGCCCAGCACCAGCAGGGCCGGCCCCTTCAGCTGGCAGCGGGTGGCGGCCTCAGTCCTCTGCACCACCACGGGAAACTCGCCCACTGTGGCAGGTGGCCAGGACAGCTCCGTCAGTCCCAAAAAGACCCAGCCCTGGGTGTGGGGGGCTGAGGCTGCCCTTGCACGTCCTCCAACTTACCTTCCTGCCAGGAGGAGTAGATGGAGTTTTCCTCCATGGGGACCAGGCCCCTCTTGGGAGACTGGGCATCTGTGGATCCTGAGGAGGCCTCCCCTGTCCCCTGGGGAATGAGTTCAAGTCAAAGGTGAGAGCACCGCACTCCCATGCCCTGTCCCCTCCCCTCAGTATCCCAGAACTCCACAAGCCAGGGGGCATCCAGGGGCCTGGGCTCCAGTTCCAGCTTTGCCCGGCTCGCTGCATAAGCCTAGGTCCCCTTCCGAGCCTGTTCTCCCACCTGGCTCCCCACTGAGAGTGCTGGGCTGGGCAAGAGGCACTGTGCTTGAGGGTGTCTGAGAGCTGCAGATCACTGGGGACACAAAAGGATGTCCCTTGCAGCCCCTGGGCTTGGCTGGGCCAGCTTCTGTATGTCTGACAGCCTAGAGCAGTACCCCAGGTGTCTTCCTCCATCTCACCACAGCCACCTGCTATGACCCTGCAAGGTGCCCCCAATCTCTGCCTCATCCCCACACCCAGGCCTTCAGCATGTCCCCTGTGCTCTTTCCCACTCAGCTCCTCTACTAGCACCACCCTGGCCCATAGCAACACAGCCGGGTCAAATGCCACAGCTTCCTCACCAGGCTCCTTGCTCCTGTCAACTGCCTTTTTTTTTGACATGGAGTCTTGCTCTGTCACCCATACTTGAGTGCAATGGCGAGATCTCGGCTGACTGCAATTTCCGCCTCCCGGGTTTGTTTTTTTTCTTTAAGATGGAGTCTCACTCTTGTCGCCCAGGCTGGAGTGCAGTGGCGCGATCTTGGCTCACTGCAAGCTCCGCCTCCCAGGTTCACGCCATTCTCCTGCCTCAGCCTCCCAAGTAGCTGGGACTACAGGTGCCCGCCACCAGGCCTGGCTAATTTTTTTTGTATTTTTAGTAGAGATGGGGTTTCACCATGTTAGCCAGGATGATCTCGATCTCCTGACCTCATGATCCGCCTGTCTCGGCCTCCCAAAGTGCTGGGATTACAGGCATGAGCCACCGCGCCCAGCCCGCCTCCCGGGTTTAAGTGATTCTCCTGCCTCAGTCTCCCAAGTAGCTGGGATTACAGGTGCCCACCACCATGCCTGGCTAATTTTTTGTATTTTTAGTAGAGACAGGGTTTTACCATATTGGGCAGGCTGGTCTCGAACTCCTGACCTCAGGTGATCCACGTGCTTCGGCTTCCCAAAGTGCTGGGATTACAGGCACGAACCTCCATGCCTAACCTCAACTGCCTTTTGTTTTTTGATTTTTAAAATATGATAAAATACAGAGAACATAAAATTTACTGTTTTAACCATCTTACTTTTTTTTTTTTTTTTGAGACAAAGTCTTGCTCTGTCGGCCAGGCTGGAATGCAGTGGTGCGATCTAAGCTCACTGCAACCTCTGCCTCCCAGACTCAAGCAATTCTGCTGCCTCAGCCTCTCAAGTAGTAGCTGGGATTACAGGCGTGTGCCACCACACCCAGCTAATTTTTGTAATTTTTTTTTAGTAGAGATAGGGTTTCACCATGTTGGCCAGGCTGGTCTCGAACTCCTGACCTCAGGTAATCCGCCTGCCTCGGCCTCCCAAAGTGCTGGGATTACAGGTGTGAACCACTACGCCCGGCCCATTTTACATCTTAAAGTGTATCATCAGTGCTCTTTTTTTTCTTTTCTTTTTTTTTTTTTTTTTTTTGAGACGGAGTTTTGCTCTCGTTGCCCAGGCTGGAGTGCAATGGCATGATCTCGGCTCACCGCAACCTCTGCCTCCCAGGTTCAAGCAATTCTGCCTGCCTCAGCCTCCCGAGTAGCTGGCATTACAGGCATGCACCACCATGCCCAGCTACTTCTGTATTTTTAGTAGAGACGGGGTTTCTCCATGTTGAGGCTGGTCTCGAACTTCTGACCTCAGGTGATCCGCCCGCCTCGGCCTCCCAAAGTGCTGGGATTATAGGCCTGAGCCACCGCACCCGGCCACCAGTGCTTTTTAGTATACTCACAAGGCTGTGCACTGTTGCCACTGTCTAGTTCCAGAACTTTTCCATCATCCCACATGGAAGCCCTGTACCCATGAGCAGCCACTCCCCACTTCTCCCTTCCTCCAGCTCCTGCCAACACTCATCTGATTTCTATCCCAATGGAGTTACCTTGTCTGTACATTTCTTTCTTTCTTCTTTTCTTTTTTTTTTTTGAGACAGGGTCTCACTATGTTGCCCAGGCTGATCTTGAATTCCTAGGCTCAAGCAATCCTCCTACCTCAGCCTCCCAAAGTGCTAAGATTACAGGCAAGAGCTACTGTGCCAGGCGTTTGTTTGTTTTTATGGCTGAGTAGTATTCCATCTTGCGGACGGACCACGTTTTGCTTATCCATTTGTCAGCTGATGGCCATGTAGGCTGTTTCCACCTTCTGGTGGCTGTGAGTAGTGCTGCTATGGACGTTCATGTCCATGTGGGTTTTTTTTTAAGATAGGGTCTTGCTCTGTCTCCCGGGCTGGAGTGAAGTGGCACGATTACAGCTCACTGCAGCCTCGACCTCTGGGGCTCATGCGATCCTCCTGCCTCACATGTACATGTTTTGTTTGAACACCTGTTCAAGTTCTCTTGGGCACACACCTAGGAGTGGACCTGTGGGCCACATGGTAACTCTGTTTACCTCTTTGAAGAACCCCCAGGCTCACTTCCTTTTGACCCATCACAGACCTTTTGGGGCTTTACAAACATGTCCGGCTTAAACCCTCCAAAGCCTTCGCCTCTCACTCAGAACAAAACCACACACATGGCCTAGGGCATTTCAGCCGCTCTCCTAAGCTCTGTGAGTTGGCTTCCTCCTGCACTCCTTTCCTTCCAGCCACGTCGCCTTCTTTCTGCCCTTAAACACCCCACACTGTCCGGCCTCGGGGCCTCTGCCCACGGGACTCCCTCTGTTCACAACTCCCCAGGCTGCCCCTGTCCTCAGACCTTTGCCCAGTGGGTTCCTGTCATTCAGGGCCCTCCTCTGAGAGGCCTTCCCTGGCCACCCTGCCCGTCGCTCCCTCACTTCCTCCTGCTCCCCTGGCGGTCCATTTTCTCCATGGCACGCACGGCCCTCTGAGAGTCATTATAGATTTACTTTTCCCAGGCTTGTAGGTGCTCGGTGGAGCTTGCTGGGTGATGGGATGTGAGCGTGGAGGTGGACAAGTCGGGGGCAGGTGCCCCAGCCCAATCGCCCCCCTGCTCGCCGCACTCACCGGGAAGGCCAGCTGGCAGATGGGGCCCATCCAGGCCTGGCGGTGCTGAGCAGCCAGTAGATGGCTTCGCTCGGTGGTGGTGAGCAGGAAGGCACCGGTGTCCCGGGGGCAGCTCTCGCCGTCAGCCGGCAGCACGGACACACAGTCAGCCAGGCGGATGACCCGTCGCTCCCCTCGCCGGCCAGGCCCTGCCGACCTGTCACCCGCTGCTCCCAGGCCACCATCCCGGACCTCCCAGCTCTCCAGCCGTGCCACGCCTGATGGGCCTCCTGCATACAGCAGAGCCCACACCTTCCGCCAGCACTTCTGCGGGAGGGGAGCGGGAGGGTGAAGACCCTTGGGTGGCAGATTGTCCGTGCCACTTGGCTCAGCACAAGCTGCTCGGCAAACGCTCCCAGCCAGGAGCGGGCCTCTGCTCCCCAGTTTCTCAGGGAGCCAGGTAAGGAGGCCTTGGCTATGCTTGGGATTGGTCAGCCCTGGGTTCAAATCCCAGCCCGCTCTTTCCTAACTGTGACCTCCACAAGCATCAATGTCGTCTCTCAAAAGGCCATGAGAACTCGAGCTGGGACTGCTACTGGGTCATGTTTGTAAAGCATCCAGTGGCCGGGCAGACCACCAGACACTGCCATTATATTGGTTCCCTCTCACCCCCAAAAAGGGGCACTTGGGCCACAGGCCAAGAGCTGGGGTGGGAGGGAGGCCTCTGCCTCAAGCTGTTAAGGAAGGAAACATGCAAATAGCTTCGAGCAAAGGAAACTGACGGTTTATCTGCCTGGGCAGCAGCTGCAGCTGAGCTGCGGGGGTGTGGGGCTGCTGCCGAGGAGAGGTGACCCCCTGCCTCCTTGCTCCCAGGACAGTGCCGCTGCAGGGAGGGGCTCCACCCTTGAGGCCTCCTCCAGCTCAGCCCCTCACCCTATTTAGGGCCCTCGGTGGCACTATTTCATGGGTCAGAGGCTGTGAAGCTCTTCCCTGCTGGGAGGTTTGAGCCTTCGACCCTCTCCCACTCCTGTATTTCCCATCTCTCCCGGAGGCAGGGTCTGGCAGAGCCTGCTCAGCCCCTGCCGTCTCAGGCTGACACCCGCACTCCATTCCACTCCCCATACCTGGGTGGGATCCTCCACCCTGACTCCCTTCCCAAGTCTCCCAGGTCTGCCTGGGCTGTCCGAGGCAGGGGCAGAGGCTGCATTCTCCACCCACTGTTGGTCCTTGGCAGCTGCCTGGCAGCCAGGGGTCCCCACCTTGCCAAACTTGACATGCTGCTGGTAGAGGATGCCATCCTTGATAGGGGTCTCCAGAGGGTCCATGGTCACGGCCAGGAGCAGGGCCGCCGCTTCAAGACCTGGGGAGACTGATGACAGGCTGGACGGGAACTCCTCACACTTCCCCTTCTGGCCACTTCCCGTCCCTCCGTCTAGAGACAGCTGCAGGCCGGGGGGAGGGGAGCCTGTCTTCAGCTCAGGGGCTGGGGGCAGCATGTATTTCCTCCCTGGGGTTCTGGCTGCCCAAGGTGCCCACACCTACCTGGAGGGAGCCCCCGGCCACCTGAAGGCAGCCTTCTCACGCACCTGGTTCAGCTGGGCACGCGCGTCTGATCGCAGTCTGGCTCCCCGAGTCATGAGTTCCCGCCCCTCCCCCGTCCCGCCCCGGGCAGCTGCGCACCCTGGGCCTGACACTCCCTGGCCCTGCCTCCACCCAGGACCCTTCTCTAGCCAACTCCTGGCTTTCCCACTCGGCGTCCTGGTTTGAGCGCCTCACCCCATCTTGCTGCTTTTCTTTCTCCCTGAAATCTCTCTCGTGTTCACCTGCTCCTCTCCACCTCACGAGCCACTGAACATCACCAGCCTTTGGCATCCCCCCAGGGGCCACTGCCCCACTGGGCCTCCATGCAGCACTCTCCACAACCCAAGACCAACCTGTCTCTCCCCTTCCTGGGGTGCAGCCCAGGCTCCTCAGCCCAACACTCAGGGACCTGTGTGTTCTGGCCTGCATCTCCCCCAGGCCAGCCCCTCCAGGGCCCCCTCACCACTGTGCTGCCTGGGGCGGTTGGCCACCTCTTCCTCCTGGAGGCCTCCCTTGACCACTCCACGCTGTCCGAGAGCTCAAAGGCCCTCACGGTATACACTCACGCTGGGCATCCAGTCCACATGGGACCCACAGCCCTGAATGGCCCCAACCACGTGAGTGTGGGTGGCAGGTCCCAGGGGGCCCCGGAGAGGTCACATGTTCATTTAAAGCTTTGCTTCCTGCTGGGGGCGCCTTTTGTTGGCTTGCCTAGCAAGATGCCAATAGCGGGGCTGTGTGTATACCTTTATTCTGGAACAGCCTCAGGTCATTCAGCACCACCTCTGGGAGAGAACATGGAAGAGGATAAGGAATGCCATTTGGGAATGCACTTGGCCAGGAAATATGTCCTGAAGGCCTCCTGGCACCCAGCTCTGTGCCCACTGTGGCCCAAGCAGCCCTAAGCTCCGTCCACCTCAGACGCCACATCCTTTGCGTTCTCATCGCCATTTCAACAGTGAGGAAATCGGTGCTCAGAAAAATTAAGTAACTTGCCCAATGCCACATATCAAGTGACAAATATGGCTTGAGCAACCGCTGTCTCACTGGAATGAGCATGTGGCCATACATGCAAAGTGCCTGGCTCAGAGGAAGTGTGGCCGCCTGTGCCGTCCCTGCCTACCTCTCACCAGATGCTGAGATCCTGCCTCATCTGCTAGCGGTCTTGTGACTGCCGTCCACGTTTCTGCGTGTGCGTCTTTCTCTCCCCTCGCCTGACGGCTTCCCAGGCAGCCATCTCCCTGGCCCATCTAGGTCCTCACAGCTCAGCAGAGCTGGGCACAGAGCAGGCTTAGGGAGAGCTTGTGGCCTAAATGGCAGTTCTATGACATCTGCTGCCTCCTCAGTCAACGGAATGGAGGGCTCCCTCCAGGTGGCTGGCACAGGCAGGCAGTGGGTGGGGGTCCTGAGGCAAGAAGCAGCCTCCCAAGGGGCTTCAGGAGAAGTCCCTGAAACATCACAGCCCTGACAGGAAGAGTGGGCCTGAGAGCTATGACAGCTGGCCAGGGAGACCAGAGAATCCAAGCACTTCTCCTTGGCCCGCCAATGTGGTCCCTCCTTGAGTCATAAATTCAGACAACCCAGTGGAGAGACCCAGAGTCCCCAGAGGCGGGCACCAGCTCGGTGGCTCCTTCCACAGCCAAGTACCAGCAGGCCAGGTGTTGGCAGTGCTAGTGGGAGATGCTGGGGCCTTGCCTCAGAGGGGCTCCAGAGGTCAGAGGTGACGTCTGTCCAGGAACCAGGGGGCGGATGAGGTGAAACACAGAGGCAGGGCCAGGGCTGGGCTAGAGGTTTGGGCTTTAATGGCAGCTGGGGTAAAAGGAAACAAAAACAGTAATTCTGAAGAGCACAGGGAACAGGCAGCCAGGACCAGCCTGGCCCATCCCAGGCCAGCTGAGCTGAAATGCTGATTCTGTCCAGGGGGCTGCTGTATGTGTAGACTGGTGGCAGTCTTGGGGACTGAGGCCTCTTGGAGAGAAGGGAAGACTGTCGGCTCAGAAGTCCATGGAGCTGTGGGCCAGGTAGTCCTTGCGACCGATGTTGCTGACCTGCTTGGTCTGCATAGCCTCGAGTTTGGGGCAGTCAGTGATCCGATGACCCAGGCCCCCGCAGAAGGCACAGCCGCGCTCTCCTGGGGGAATGGGGACAGGGGTCAGCCAAGTCAAGGACCAGGATCCATGCCCTGGACTTCGGGCCCCCCGTTAGGCACCCTCGGTCCACCGGTTTCACGTTTCTGACTTCCAGCACCCCTCCTTGCCACCTGCCGGCTGGGGACTCGGGGATCCCGCTCTGCAGTCACCTCCAATGTCCAGCATGGACTCATCCCCGCAATGCAGCACCTGCAGCACGGGCGGCACCTTCTGCTTGGCTTCTAGCAGCAGCGCTTTGAGGTCCATCAGCACTGACTCATCTGGGGGAGGAGTGGGGAAGCATCAGGGCCCATCCTGGGCTCTGTGGCCAGAACCTGGGTGGCCACAGGCAGGGGACCCAGGGAACAGCTAAGGTGGCGCTGGTAACAGACTCACCACACGCTTTGTTGATGAAGGTAGTGGCGATGCCTGTGTTTCCCGAGCGCCCGGTGCGGCCAATCCGGTGTACTGCAGAGAGAAGGACAGAGTCTCTGGCCCATCGCTGGACACTAGGGGCCTGGCTTGGCCCTTTTCCGGCCTAACCCATGCCCTTGGGCCCCAGGCTCTTACCATAGTTCTCAATCTCCTCTGGCATGTCATAATTGATGACGTGCTGGATGGCAGGGAAGTCCAGGCCCTTGGAGGCAACGTCTGTGGCTACTAGGACATCCTTCTTGCCCTCCCGGAATGCCTCGATGGCCTTAGTCCGTTCCTCCTGGTCTGGGGAGGGTCAGGCAGACACTGTCAGAGCCACCATGGGACAGGGGAGTGGCAGGCCAACCAGGCAGGGGAAGGCATTAGGTAAAGCACTGCTACTGCAGCAGGGTCCAAGCCAGTGCTTGCACCACCCTGACCTTTGCCCCCATGGATGGCTACGGCCTCAACCCCCTTGAGCAGCAGGTACTCGTGGATGGCGTCCACGTCTGCCTTCTTCTCTGCAAAGATGAGTACCTGTCCGGAAAGACCAACTCCAGTCAGGGGCTAACTGCCTGGGCACCCACCGCACCTCCCCTGGCACTCTGTCCCCTCCAAAGCCCTCCCTGGTCCTGGGGACTCTGGCCCCGGCCTGGCCTGGCTGCACTCACAGGCGGGGGTGTCTTCTGCAGGCACTCGAGCAGGTACACCATCTTGGCCTCCTCCTTCACATATTCTACCTCCTGCCACCACAAAGATCAGGTCAGGTGATCTTGAGATTAGGCTTACCCGCCACAGCCCTGCCATGGCCCGTCATCTGGACCAGGAGGTGACCAGAAGCCTCTGGCCGCCAAGGGCTGGTGCCCTAAAAATGGCCCTGGTTAAGCGTCAGGGGCTTTGAATGAAACCCCCGGTTCCCACAAGGTGGACCCCCGGCTCCAATCAGCTTCAGGGAGACTTGTCAGATCCAGCCCCCACAGGTGAGAGACCGCCCATCAGGAGCACCTGCCCACCTGGATGACATCCAGGCTGGCAGCCCCAGCGCGCCCCACATTGATGGTCACAGGCTTTACAAGGGCACTCTTAGCAAAGTTCTGAATCTTCTTCGGCATGGTGGCACTGAAGAGCAGGGTCTGTCGCTGGCCCTGAGGAAGAGGGGGGCTGCGACCAAGGGCACACAGGGCTGGGCTGAGGGGCATGGGGTCTGGGGAAGCTGAGCAACTGAGACACAGCCCACAAAGTATGAGCAGTGGGTTGGGGTGGCCAGGGGCATGGGGTCCCTGCAGTCTGATGTGGCGTGCAGTGGGGGGCGGTGCAGGGTGCCCTGGCCGGGCGGGGGCGGCACCTTGAAGTAGGAGAAGATGGTACGGATGTCACCCTCGAAGCCCATGTCGATCATGCGGTCAGCCTCGTCCAGGGCCAGGTAGCGACAGATGTCTAGGCTGACCATCTTCTTCTGCAGCAAATCCATGAGGCGCCCCGGGGTGGCCACCATCATGTGTACACCGCTGGGGACCAAGGAGAGACCCTGAGGTTGGGGCCACTGGCCTATCACCTATCTAGAGGCAAGCAGGCACCCTGCATCTGCTCTGCTCTCTGTCCTCCTTCCTATTTCTTTGTCTGTCCCCTTCTCATCATTCCCACCACCTGCCCTATGTATAGCACACAGCTCTTTCCCAAGGCACTGCAGCCATCTTCACCACCGCTCGGCCTGGCGCGCCTTCCCCCTTCTCCTGGGTCAGCCTCTCACCCAGAAGCGCTGTCATCAAGCTCCAGAGGCTTTACTCTGGGCTCGCTTTCCTGGCCCACTGGCTTCACCTTTTCTGTGCTCACCATCTCCCTAATACTCAGAAGTCCGTGGAGGAAGGCCTCCGGGATGGGGTCTGGCCCATCTGTGAACAGAGGGCCTGGTCCAGGGCCTCTGGTGGTCTGCAGAGGACTGCACAGCACTGAAAGGACACAGGTGCCGCTGGGATCCAGCCCTACCCCAGTGCCTCAACCTCCTTGACTGACCACTGAATGACCCTGACCTTCCTGGGCCGTCCGCCTCTGTGCTTTCAGCCTGGACTGCCCCTCTTCCCAATTCAAATGTCACCTTCCCGGAAAAGCCTTCTCTGAGCTCCCACCTCCCAGATGTCCCCAGCAAGGTGGGCCATTCCATCTGCCGTGCTCCCACAGTACCTGGCCACATCCCTCTGTCCTCCCCCAACTAACCTCCCCATTAGACTGGGAGCTCCTTGAGGGTCGCACTCACAGCAGCCCTCTGTGAAGATCTGTGGAGTGGCTAAGGTAAAGGGTCCTTTAGCTTTTCCACAGACTCGCAGGTGGCAGAGGTGGGGGGCAGGGAGCGCCAGCACTCACTGTCGGATGGTCTCCATCTGCTCTTTCACGGACATGCCCCCAATGCAGAGGGCGCAGCGCAGGAGTGGTGAGCTGTCCTCCTGCAGCAGGCGGCAGTAGTACTCCAGGATGCCATGGGTCTGCCGGGCCAGCTCCCGCTGCAGGCAGAGGGACAAAGGCTGGCACCAGATGGCAGCCCCAATCTCTGGCCTGCCCTCCAGGCCAGCCTATCTTACCGAGGGGCAGATGATGAGTCCATAGGGCCCCTCGCGCTTTGAGAAGGGTAACCTCTTCTCTTGTTCCAGGCAGAACATGATGACGGGCAACGTGAACACCAGTGTCTTGCCTGAACCCGTGAAAGCGATGCCTATCATGTCACGGCCAGATAGACTGTTGGGAGAGGATGACCCGAGGGCCAATTTCAACAGAAGATGAAGGACACCTAGCCATTGCTCCTCCCTGTTCCAGCCCTCCTCAAGGACCCCAGGTCCACAGTCCACACTCACATGGTGGGGATGCCCTGGATCTGAATGGGTGTTGGGTGGTGAATGCCTTTCTTCTTCAGGCCTCTCAGGATGGCTATGAAAACCAACCGACATCGTCTTCATGACTCACAGGTACTTTCTCAGAGCCCCAAAGCCTGTAAAACTGGCACTACCCCTACAAGTTGCAGATGATGAAACTGAGGCTCAGAGAGAGAGAGAGAGAGTGGAAAAAAAAAAAGAAAAAAAGAGACTTGTCCAAGGCCCACAGGCTAGGTGCAGCCAGGATTTGTACCCAGTGTCTATGCCCAATGGCACTTTCCTCCTGAAGCTTTGTAACAGCAGAGAACAATGAACACGTACAGCTGAGGCAACAAGGAACCTAAAGAAACTCCTCCTCAAATCCCTCCAGCCCCAGTGACTGGATCCAATGCAGATGTGGCTGAGCTCAGTGGGAGCCAGGACATAACCTCACAGGCATTTGATTATAAAAGTGTGGTATCTCTCTCCAGCCCCTGACTACCTGCAGGAAACTTCATTTCCTTGAAGCTCTTGATGGGTGGTGGGATACCGTCTCCCTCCACCAGGATGTGGTATTTCTTCCGCACGCGCTCATGTCGCTCTTCAGACATGCTCAGAACATAACGGGGTGGAGTCCAGCTGTGGATGGGTAACAGGGATCAAGAGAGCCCTGGGAATAGCTGGCCTGGGAGCATCCCTGCATGTACCATCCTAAGCAAGGGCAACTGCAGACTGTACAGACATACCTGGTTTTGATGGGGTCATCATACGTAATGCCCTTAGCCATCTCCTTCACTGACATCAATGCTGAAGAGAGAGACATGGCTCAGGGCTGGCTCCTGCTTCTGAGAAGCCAGATCCCTTGAGATATAACATGCCTGGGGCTGGGAGGAGAAGACTCAGTCCACCTTCTCACTATCCTGGCTACAACCATACCTCGGCCCTCGGCAACACTCTCCAGGATCTTCTCTTCTTCCTTCAGCTGCTTCTCCTTGGCAGACTCTTTGCGCGCTGAGAAAAGAAGTGGAAGATGTCAGACAGATACCAAAACGGTGTACCAGGCTCAGCTTCTTCTTTCTCGCCCAGGCAGTGCTGCCCAGCCCACCTTCAGCCTTCTCTTTAAGGTGCTGGTGCTGATCCAGGAGGCTGACGTTGGACTGAGGGCCTAGCGGGATGTCGTCCTCATCTCCCCGGGGTTCACTACCGCTGTCCTGCTGCTCTTCCTCCGCAGCTCCCTTGCGTCTTCGCTGCAGCAGCTTCTGGAGCTGAGGTTCCACCCGGGATCCACAGATAGGATGGGCATGGAGTCCACAAGGTCAGCGTCAGGATCCTGGCTTTGGGGCGAGGATCCTGTGCCCGAGGCGCAAAGCTGCCCTACCCCTCAGATCAAGCCGTCGGTCCCTCGTTTGTCTGGGGGCCGCGCCCTGGTGTACTGAAGCTCACTCCTCAGACTGCCCTCCTCCCCACGGAGGCCGAGGCCACGCCCGCCCCCTGCGACCCCGCGGTCACGGCCCCATCCCTCCCCGGACGCGTGCCCCTCACCAGTAGCTGCCGGCGCTGCCGTAACGGCACATAGGGCACGTAGTCCTCGTCGTCCTCATCTTCCGCCTCGGAGCGGCTTCCTCCGGCAGGCACCTCGTCGGTGCGAGCCCGCTGCAAGCACACGCCAGTCAGGCACGGCCTGCTCCCCTCTTCACGCCCGCTCCCACACGCGCGGGGTCTCGCCTCTCTCCTACCTTCCGTTCGGGTTCCGACTCCTCCATTCTTTGCTGCACGCATGCGCGCCACGGCGAAACCCCGCCTCATCCTTGCGTGAGACCCAATCCGATGTGAAGAGGCGAACGACGGCGCGTAGGAACGACCTCGGAGTTCCGGATCGCGCAGAGGGACAAATTTGTTCCGGAGATACTATCGCACGGCGAGGCATGGACGCTTTCATGGGTGGTTACGCGACAGTTGCCAGGACCGAGGGCGAAACCGGCTGCAAGGCATTGTGGGACATTGGAGGACTTGGAATATGCGCTAGAAGGCTCAATCCAAGCCCATTGGAAGAGGAAGACGTACGCAGCGGAGACAGCTGATCCGGAGTCGGGGCGGCCTGCCAGGTGCCCAACCTCTCCCAGAGCATGGCGTCTTGGGCACGCCCCTGCCGGCGGACAGTGCGTCCTCTAGGGCCGGGAGCTGCGGGCCGAGTTCGCGTGGGCCCTGCGCTTTCATCCCTGCCGGGGACGCCGGGGTTGCGGGATAAACCGCTCGACACACCCTGCCTCCCTGACTGCGCCTGTGTGACACATACGTTCACTGGTGGGGCACGCATCAGATACGGATGGCAGTGGTTTTGAAGTGGGAGGCCCTGTATAAATGTAAACGGTTATTACTGTAAATGCTCTAACAGAGCTGCCTGGGGGGCGCTTCCAGGGAAGCGTGGCAATCTCAGGCCGGGAGAGGAGAGGCGTCCTGGGCCAGGGCGCTGCAGGAATACAGGTCTGGCGATGTGCAAGTACACAGATTCACCAGGCAACAGCATTGCGGCAAGGGTGGGATGGGGAAGCCAGACCTAAGGCCAGAAAAGGAGATTGCGACCAGAGCATGCCTGCTGTGACTGTCAGAGTAAGTGGTTTCAACTTTATTAGAGACTTCTAAGGAATGACTTGGTCAGCTCTGTGCTTTCTTGCCTTCAAGAGTGTGTGCTGGGCGCTGGCACTGCGCTCAAGCAGATGATAATCAAGACACATACCTGGTGTGCGAGGAGCTTATGTAGATTGAGACTAGAAATATAGACAGATAACTGGTCTTAAAGAGAAAGATCCTAAGACAAGGTACCGCTTTTCGAAGTGTCATAGTTTTCACAGTACAATGGCCTCTTAGCTGGGATGTGAAGGATACACAGGAATTCATGAAGTCTTCTTTAGTAAAGAAAGCTTAGGCTGGGCACAGTGGCTCATTCCTGTAATCCCAGCTCTCTGGGAGGCCAAGGCAGGAGGATCGCTTGAAGCCAGGAGTTCAAGACCAGCTTGGACAACATAGCAAGACCCCATCTCTATAAAAAAAATAAGCTGGTGCTTACTGCCAGTCCCATGGTGGGTCTCAACCTGGGAGGGATGGAGGAGGACATGGTTTCTGGTCCTGCTCACAACACCCAAATACATGGCAATCTCAGGCCGGGAGAGGAGAGGCGTCCTGGGCCAGGGCGCTGCAGGAATACAGGTCTGGCGATGTGCAAGTACACAGATTCACTAGGCAACAGCATTGCGGCAAGGGTGGGATGGGGAAGCCAGACCTAAGGCCAGAAAAGGAGATTGCGACCAGAGCATGCCTGCTGTGACTGTCAGAGTAAGTGGTTTCAACTTTATTAGAGACTTCTAAGGAATGACTTGGTCAGCTCTGTGCTTTCTTGCCTTCAAGAGTGTGTGCTGGGCGCTGGCACTGCGCTCAAGCAGATGATAATCAAGACACATACCTGGTGTGCGAGGAGCTTATGTAGATTGAGACTAGAAATATAGACAGATAACTGGTCTTAAAGAGAAAGATCCTAAGACAAGGTACCGCTTTTCGAAGTGTCATAGTTTTCACAGTACAATGGCCTCTTAGCTGGGATGTGAAGGATACACAGGAATTCATGAAGTCTTCTTTAGTAAAGAAAGCTTAGGCTGGGCACAGTGGCTCATTCCTGTAATCCCAGCTCTCTGGGAGGCCAAGGCAGGAGGATCGCTTGAAGCCAGGAGTTCAAGACCAGCTTGGACAACATAGCAAGACCCCATCTCTATAAAAAAAATAAGCTGGTGCTTACTGCCAGTCCCATGGTGGGTCTCAACCTGGGAGGGATGGAGGACATGGTTTCTGGTCCTGCTCACAACACCCAAATACATGGCTCTTAGTGACCCTGTTAGCTCCCCACATAACCTCGAGTTGGTTTTAGGAGCGAAAACTAAATTTGGGGCATGGAGTTTGGACACAAGTGTGTCAGGGGCATTTTGGGAAAACTCATTGTATTAAAATCCAAATTTACAAACCAGATCCATTTCGGGGGATGAGGTAGTTTGCTTGACTTTACAGAAGAGTTCATTATCCTCTTAACTCTCAAGCCCTCAGCTACATGTCCCACCCCCACTGGAAAATCAGATCTAATTTATAAAAAACTCAATTTACCCCCAACTTCCCCTGACTGTGAAGTCAGTGTGAGGGGCCTCGATGGCCCAGGCTACAGATCCATGAAGGCCTCAGGGTCTTTCCTAGACCTCTTCTCACATCCAGATGCACAGAGACCATCTTCAACCCCTCCAACTCACCCATCTTGCAAAGAGGGAAACAGGAAAGAGTGGGGAAGGGGCTGCCCCAGGCTCACATACCAGAGACCTCCCAAAAGGAGAAAAGGGCACAGATGCCATAATCATACCAGTCTGCGCTCAATGCTAATCAGCCAGACTAAGTTGAGCTGAGTCACTTTCCTATCGGCTTTAGTTTCCTCACCTGTAAAATGGGACAATAGCACCAAACTGCTGATGCATGGTGCATGCTAGGGTTAGTGACTAAGGGAGAGCCCATGCTTCTGAGCACACCCTCAACTCCCTCCCCGCCCAGACCCACAAATCACCAACATGCCAACTCTGTGTCCAAATGTTGCTTTATCTTTCGGCACGAAAGATCTTCACAGTATCAAAAGTAAAGAATTGGAAAAAAACAAAATAAAAACAAAAACAAAAAAACCAAACACAAAGAGAGCAGTGTTGGGCCAGCAGTACCATCAGCCCTGGCCCTTAGGCCAGCCCAGTCCACGGGCTCTGAGTGTGGAGGCTGCGTAGCACCAGGAAGCGGCTCTGCTGAGGTCAAGGGGCCCCAGCACAGTGTGGCATCCGTTCAGCTTTTGGTTGGTCCAGGATGGTGGGGAGCACAGAGGGTCTTGGACGGGTAGGTGGGGCACACGGAGGGAAAAATTATACGCCTTCAGCTGGCAGTCAGGGCCTCAGGACGCCCTGAAGCAGCTCAGCCTGGGCAGGGCCTGAGAAAGAAAAAAAGAGCAGAATCACAGTAAGCAATGAGCCATGCTCCAGCCTCCCCATGCCACTTGGGTACCCATGGGTCTCTGGTAGCAGAAACAGCTGGCTGCTATTTTTGTTCCCTGGGCTGAAAATGTTGAAGATTCCCTGGATCACCTGTAGCAGAGGATGCAGGTTAACGGGTTGGGAGACAGAGCCCCAGTCCCAGGATCCTGACAAGGTGGGGGACAATCCTTGAGTAGATCCAGCCTTTGGCACTTGCTGTCCATCAGCAGGGGCTGGGAGGCCAGCTGTGCAGCTGTGCTCCTGCCTCTGACTGTAGGTGCACAGCCCGGGGGAGGGTGAAGAGGCTCAAAGGAGAGCGCTTACTAGGGGGTGGGGAGAGGGGCATCTTCTATCTTGGAAAAGAGGCCAGACCAGGTGAAAAAGGGTCAAGAGGAGGCAGTGGAAGGAGACAGTTGCATTTGATTTCTTGAATGACAGAACTGGGCTTGTGGGAGGAAATGCGATCTCTTTTCTCTCAGTAGGGATAACAGATGAAGTGCCTGGGGTTCCTGCTACTCCTGGTTCCCATGGAGGTGGAGAAGAGGCAGGAGGCCACCTTGGATCTGGAAGATACTTCTGGGGCTTGTGGGCATCTCAGTTTGGCAAAGGGGGCTGACTGAGCCCAACCCCTTCAGAGGAGAGGAGGACTAAAGTGAGTGTAAAGAAGACAGTCTGGACTCTGGGGCAGCACAAGGGTCACAGGGAGCCCCAGCTCTGAAGGCTGTCCTGGCTGCAGGCTCTCTGAGCTGCCCCTGGGGAGCTGAGGGTCCAGGAAGTTTGCTGCTTAGGCCCAGAGAGGAGCTGGCCTGGCACTGGAAAGAGGAGAAAGACAGGTGGGGCCATCATGGGGGAAGTGAGTTGTTTGTGAGCTCAGTCTGCCTGCCCCAGCCTTCCAGTCTCCAGGACAGCTGTGTGGTTGCCAGCCGGAAAAGGCCTGACCCCAGGGACACAGCTGAGGGTTGAGATATGAAACTGCAGAGCCACTCAGCCCCCAGCCCAAGGTCTGCCTGCTAGCTGCCCTTCTCTTCATCAATAGGGTTCCAGGCCCAGTGCCTTCTCCAGTTGTCTGTTCCCAGTCCAGATCATCATCTGGTACATCATTGTTTCAGACAAAAGGACCTGTGTGGGTGGCTGGGAGGGGATGCCAATGCCATCTGGCACCCAGGTCTCTTCCTCTAGGAGGCACTGTGGCTACCAATATCCTCATGGAGCTTGCCCTGCTTTGGGTAGCCCCCATCAACTCCTCCATGCCTAAATGACCCACGATGTTCACTCAGGGCTGGCCCCTTCTTATACTGCTTCAGCTGGGAAGTACCTTGGTAGCCTACACTGAGGAGCCCAGGGCAGGAAGTGGGACTTGACACAAGGACTGATAACATCAGGGGTGAGGGCAGCCCCATGGGTCTGATGGCTACCTGGGCACTTTTGAAATCAGCTGGTTAAGACCCTGATGGTTATGCCTTAGGAGATGCCAGTCCAGGAAGGGGACCTTCAGGAGCATGGGCAGCAGGGCCCAGGGAGGAGTAATAGAACAGAGGCCTACAGGTGAGTGGCTGCGGGAGGAGATGGGGCCTTGACCTTTGGAGGCTGTAGCCTGCCATTGCTGTGAAGATGCAGACAGAAGCCAGGGATCCCATGCCCCAAGTCCAACTCCCTGTGCCCCAGAGCACAGAATGGTCTGGTGAGCGTACAGAGAGGGTGGCCAAGCACAGGGAGAGGCAGTGGATGTAACTCTTGGGGTCTCTGTACCTCACTGAGCTGTGCTAGGAGTGGTTTTCTTGAGGCTGAAGTTGGTCCAGTTCACAGCAACTTTCTGACGAGTCTGCTTTGCAGAATCCAAACAGAACCTGTTGGGTTTGGGGGACACATGAGAAGCACAATCAGAGGTTCATTCTTTTGCTCACTGGACTCCTAAGGTACCATGTCCCCATCACTAAGAGACCAGGTTCTCTACAAAACCTCTTTGGCTCTCAGGTGCTAGGGTTTAGCAGGCATAGGAGCTTTGCTGGCTTGGGGGCTTCTGGATTGGGCCCAGGGAACTATGTATGAAGACAGTGAAACTGCCTTGGGATTCCAGTTCCTCCTCATCTGGTGTTTGATTCTCTAGCTCTGCTAGGCTGGCTTCCGTCATTCCCTTAAGTACAGTCGTCCCTCTGAATCTGCTGGGGATTAGTTACCCAGATACCAAACTCTGCAGATGCACAAATCCCTTATATAAAAATGGTGTAGTATTTGCATAAAACCTGCACTGCTCTTCCCATATACTTTTTTTTAAAATTACTATTTTTTTTTTAAATAAGAGATAGGGTCTCACTATATTGCCCAGGCTGGTCTTGAACTCCTGAGCTCAAGTGATCCTCCCACCTTGGCCTTCCAAAGTGCTGGGATTACAGGTGGGAGACACTGTGCTTGGCCTTCCCACATACTTTAAATCATCTCTAGATTACTTAAAATACCTAATACAATGTAAATGCTATGTAGTTATTATATTTTTATTTTTATTTATTTGAGACAGAGTCTTACTCTGTTACCCAGGCTGAAGTGCAATGGCACAATCTTGGCTTACTGCAACCTCTGACTCCCAGGTTCAAGCGATTCTCTTGCCTCAGCTTCCCAAGTAGCTGGGATTACAGGCGCCCGCCACCACGCCCGGCTAATTTTTGTATTTTTATTAGAGACAGGGTTTCACCATGTTGGCCAGGCTGGTCTAGAACTCCTGACCTCAAGTACCTCAAGTGATCCGCCTGCCTTGGCCTCCCAAAGTGCTGAAATTACAGGCATGAGCCACCACCTGTAAAAATACGTATTTTTTTGAGACGGAGTCTCGTTCTGTGGCCCAATCTCAGCTCACTGCAGCCTCCACCTCCCAGGTTCCAGCGATTCTCCTGCCTCAGCCTCCCGAGTAGCTGGGATTATAAGCACGTGCCACCATACCTGCCTTATTTTTCTATTTTTAGTAGAGACGGGGTTTCACCAACTTGGCCAGGCTGGTCTTGAACTCCTGATCTCAGGTGATCCACCCGCCTCGGCCTCCCAAAGTGCTAGGATGAGAAGCATGAGCCACCGCGCTTGGCCAAAAATACTAATTTTTAAAAAATTTGCATTATTTAGTAATGTATTGCTATTTTTTGTGTTTTGTTTTTTTTCCTGAATATTTTTGATTGCAGATATGGAGGGTGACTGTATGCCGTGTTTCTTTCACCCTAATCTTTTGTACTCACTGGCCCCCTTGGCATGAATACCTTTTCATCTTATCTGGCCAACTCATTCTTACTCTTCAGGTTTCAACTTGGTTACCACCTCTCCTGGGAAGGCCTCCTGGCCAGCCCCCACCCCTTCTATCCTCCCCAACTCTATGCCATTTATCAGTAGGCTGCATGTTCATGGCCAGACTCCTGGTCTAGACTGCTTCATTGACCTCAGCCCAGGCAAAGCAGAGAATGTGCAAGTGAAGACACAAAGCAAATAAAGCTGGAAAAAGCCCTGGTTCTTGGGGCCTGACATGCCTCCTCCTATCTCTTGCACCTTCCCAGATGTGCCATCCTGCCCAGTGGCTCCGTGGGTTTTCAGCAGGCAGGCTGGTGGGAGAGGGCCTGGGGGGGCGGTGAGCCTCCCCAAGGGGTCAGGGCCAAGGGAGCAGGCCTTTCTGAGGCTTGAGGCACAACACAGGGCTTGAGTGTGGGCAGGACCTGGAGTCCTCCACAAGTGGGAGAGCAGGCAGCCCACACCTACCTCTTAAAGTACTCCACCTCTCGGTCAGTCTCATCCATCTCCACCCCGTCCATGTCCTTGGGCAGGAACACATCGTCTAGGAAGACACAGCCAGGAGGGCTCAGTGCCCATGGCCAGGCCTTTGGGGTTATGCTCTGGGGGCAGCGCTGTCTACACACAAAGGCTGCCCCTCCACCCCGTGGACTGGCTGGGGTAGGGGGTCAGCCGCTCAGTTCCTGGTGCACTCACCCAAGGAGGAGGCTGGCTTCTCCTGCTTGTTGCGGCTCCGGCGGCTGCGGCCCTTGCCCTGGGGCAAGCTCTGTGGCCTTGCTGGGCCTGAGGGCTGCACAGACTCCTGCTCCTGAGGCCGTGCCTTGGCCTCGCCTGGCCAGTTTCGCCAGGAGCTGCCCTTCTCCTTCTCAGTTTTGGGACTGCCAGCCCAACCTGGTCCTGGCCGGCTCCCCCGGCTCCCCTCTCCAGCCTCAGCACAGCTGCCTACTTTGGGAAGCTCTAGGACCCTGCCTGGCTGCTTGGGGCCAGCGACCTGGCCCTTGGCACTGGGAACCTCTAGGCTGGCTGGGGGCCGGGGGGCTGGGCTTGCCTCGCTCTTCTTGGCCTGACTGCCCTGCCTCTTGCCCTTCTGTGGCTTCCCACCTGAGGACACAGGCTCAGGCAGCTCCTGCTTGCAACTGGGAACTTCCTTTGAGCTTGGCTCCTCGGAGCTGGGGTAGCCCGGCTTGGGTGTCTTGACCCAGATCACCCGGGATAGGTTGGGCACGGTGTTGAGTCTCCTCACGAGCCCGTTCTCGGGGACGATACCGGGAGGGGGCCCCCTCACCTCTGTCCATGGTGGGTGGGGGCCTCTCATTTCTGCCCATGGTGGGGCTGGCTCGCCTGGAGCTTGTAACGTGTGGTTCTGAGGGGAGCCCAAAGTCAAAGGGGACAGGTCAAGGTTGATGTCAGGCTGCTGCTCTGAGGAGCCACTGAGGTTTGAGGGGGGTAGACTCTGAGGCTCAGGCTCAGCAGCCCCCTCCTTAGAGAAGCCATTGCTGTCCATGCTGAGCTCACACACACTGAAGCTGGCACGGATGGAGTCTTTGACAGTGTTTTTGATCTCCTGCAGACGGCTGCTCAGGAAGCTGTTGACCCGATCCAGTTCCCGGTCGGGCCACTCCAAGAGCCTCTCCCTGGCAGGCCTTGGCTCCCGGCTTCCAGAAACACGATTTGCCTGCTTTAGAGCTTCTGCTGCCAACTGGGCCTTCTCCTTTTCCTGCCAAGGCAAGAGGCAGTTTTAGCAGGAGGCTGTCAACTGCCAGGCACAATGTGATACCTGACCCATCAGCCTGGGGCCCAGCTTTGCCACTAACTTGCTGGAAGCAAAGCCTTAAAATCCTAGCCTGCTTACCCACCCTGCAGGAGTGAGGGCAAACTGCAGCCAGACAGGTACATGTCCTGGGGGCAGGGGTAGTCACACCCACAGAGGGTAGGGTTTTTACAGCTTGTTCACCCAGAGCCTCAGTTTCAGTGGACTAATCTGCAAAATGGGGACAATAATTCCGGAGTAAAGCCAAAGTGGGGATGCATGTGAAGACCACTACTAGAGAGGCATTCTCTCCACCCCTACGGGTGGTGGGGAAAAAGCCATGCCATCACGGGGTCTTACAGGAGGCAGGTGTGGGGGTAGATGAGATTACTCTGGTTGGGAGGGCATGTGCCTTCCTGATGCTATGTCTGGGTGTTACCAAAGAGGGCGGTGTTCCCGTAGAGAGGCCACTTGCTGCACATTTGGTCTCAAGTAATCAAGGTCACACCTAGAGTGTGCCCAATGGCATACCATGGACAAACACACTGGCCTACACAGCAAGATGTGAGAGCTGCTCCTTTGCCCAGGTGAGGCCTGGAAGGCTCAGAGAGGCCAGGCCCTGCCAGTTGGCTTTGACAGATCTGGATCTAGGGAATCAAAATGAAAGTCTGTGGGATCTCAGTCACCCCAACCTCTCCATCCCACCTCAAGGCCAACGATGCCTTTAGAGGGAGACAGGCGGCAGATAAAAAACCCTCGGGAAGGAGGTTGCTGTGGTGCGCCTGGCGCCATTGACTCCCACTGCCTCCTGTACTTCCAGCTGATTTGGGAATGGAGGAAGAGAAACATGAAAGGGCAGCTGGTGAGAGAAACCAGGGCTTGCTACCACCTCGGAGTCAATGTACAGAGGGTGACCCTGCGTCCCAGCAGGCACTTATCTTTTGTGAACCCTGGCTCCACAATGGACTACAGTCAATTGTTCTGTGGGACCTTGGACAAATCACTTATTCTCTCTGAACCTTACTTTTCCTATTTGTAAATTAGGAAGAAGAGGCATCTCTACATTCCAGGGTCAGTATGAGGACAGCTGAGAGTCTGTGTGGGGTCCTTTCCCATGTGCGAAGGTGGGGCTGGGCTTCGTGGCCCTCAGGGAGCAGCTTGGTCTGCAGCAGCTGCAGCAGCATTTCTAGCTGTGAGTAGGGCTCAGAGGCCCTGGGTTGGACCAACGAGGACCAAGGGCCCTTCACCTCGCTCCCCCAGCACCACACAGATTTCACAGAAAAGTTTGGCTGCTAAAAAAAAAAAAGTTTGACAACTGCTGGTGTGGAGGGAATGATATGGAACCATATACACTCTGGAAGCCAGAGGAGAAAGCACAGAAACACACACTTTCTGCTCTGTACCGTCAGCACTTCCCATAGATGTCTCCTTTAATCCTCGCCACTGTCTTTGCTGCATCATGACCCTCTGCTTATAGGTGAGAAACCTCGACTTTGGAAAGAACAGGAGGAGGAGGTGGCTAGGAAGTGGCAGAGCCAGGACAATACACCCAGGCCTGATCTTCAGAAGTTCCTATGTTTCTCAATTCCATCTGACAACCATTTACCGACCATTGAGGCTGTGAGGCAGCAGGCCAGGCCCTGTGAGTTTAGCGTACGTGAGACATTCTCTGCCTCGCTGACTTCAGTCTGCTGAGGGAGACAACAGCAAACAGCCTGTTGAATTCAGAGTGACAGTGACAAGTGCTGCATGGAAGAAAGCACGGGGTGATCTGGGAATCTAGAGGAGATGCTCCCAACACAGACTGGTTCACCAGGGAGTGCTTCCTGGAGGTGGGAGGATCTGCACTGAGCACAGAATGGGGAGTGGAATCATCCCGGAGGCAGTGAGACAAGCATTTTCTAGAGAGAAGGAATAGCAAGTGGAAAGGCTGGAAATGGGAAAGCTCAGTATCTTCTGGGAATGCAAATCATTCAGAGGTATAGCTGTAGCCCAGATTTTTTGGGGGATGTGGGGGTTGGGTGGGGCAGGTGGGCAGGAAGGTCAGAAAGGAGAGGCTGAGAGATAAAGCTGGCAGGGGCTGATCGTGAAGGGCCCTGCAGGCCCTACAGTGTTTGTGCCCGAGGGCAATGTCCAGCCACTGATGGCTTTTAAGGTAGTGGCAGTAGGGTGGAGAGCGGTGGACTGGTCTGAGCTATCAGCGATGTGGCATGGATAGGGCTTTTGGTGCTGGGTAGGGAGACAGAATGAGAAAAGTCAGAGAAACATTGATGGCCACTATGGCTGCCACAGCAGCCCCACTGCCTGAGAACTCACATGTGCCAGGCACTCTGCCTAACCTTTCCATGCATCGCTCCATTTCATCCCTGCAACAATCTACGACTTAGGTTCTGTTATTCTCATTTTATGGATGAAGAAACTGAGGCTTAGAGGTTAAGTGATTTGCCCAATGTCATACAGCAAGTGTGGCAGAGCCAAGTGTCAAACTGAGATCCAGTTCCAGGCATGCTATTCCAGGTCACTATGATGCACTCCCCAGGCGGGCGCCCAGTGCTCCGGCTCAGGCAACAGGGTGGGAGGCGGTGCCATTGACTAGACAGACAACAGAGAAGGGAAAGCAGGCCTGTTCGGAGAAAGACAACAAGCTGAACTTTGGATGTGCAGAGTCTGAGATACCTGTGGGACGTCCACAAGGAGGTGTCCAGTAGCAGTTGGAGACGTGGATGTACAGGGTGGGGAGGAAACACTATTGGGCTGTTTCTAGATGGCATCTCTTTCCCAGGGAGATGTCCCCATGAAGGAGGGTCAAGTGGAGGACGAGGAGCTCACAAAGGAGACAGAAAGGACGTCAGAGGGGCAGGCAAGACATCTGGAGAACATGGCACTCCCCTTGCCCTTTCCTGCCTGGCTGAGGACAGAGGAGCCCAAAGACAATGTGTGAAAAGGACAAACACAAATGCCAGATATTCTCTAGTGGACTAACACGATAGGAACAGCAGAGGAGGATGGATTTGGCAACAAAAAAGTCACCGGTGACTCTGGAGAGGGTGTGGGTAGAAAACCGCCTGCAATGAGCTAATGGGTGGAAGGGAAGACAGTGAATGCAGACATCATTTTTCAAGAAGTGTGGCTGTGATGAGAGGAAAGAGGCTGGGGAGGGGTTGAGAGAGAGGTAACAGGCTCAAGGAGCAGTTTGCTTCCAAAAAAGAGAATGGTGGACACAATGAAATGTGGACGGGAACAGCATGGAGGAGAGGCTAAGCTAGACCAGGAGCCTGCTGCTGGGCTGAGGGGTCAAGAAAGTACCGCACAGGCCTTAGGCGGGAAAAGGGTGACTCTCATGACAAGGAAGAAAGTATGTTTGCAGGTGGGAATGGCAAAACAGTGGGAGAATCCCTGTATAATGGCTTTTTTCCTCATTGAAATAAAAAGTGAGGCTATTTGCCAAAAAATAAGGTGTGGGCTCGGAAGGCCTAGCGGTTTGAGAAGACTGGAGGCCTGACAGAAGGACTGTGGGGAATGGACGTGCTAAGGTACAGGAAGCCCAGGGAACCATGAGAGGCCCGCCTGGCGACACGGGAACTCGGCAATCGGGAGCCCACGTGGCTGGCTGCCACAGATTCACTCATGTGCTTTTCTTGAGCTGTAGAAAGGGAGAGCCAGGCTGGGGTGGAACCCAGGGCTGCAGTGTTTCTGAGTGGGTCTGAAGGAAAGACAGCGGGACAAGGAATTGAGTACTGGTGAGTGAGTGAGTGAGTGATGGGTCAATTTGCCTGCCCTCCTACCAATACTTAGCAATGCTTACTCCATTCAAGTGAGTGAGAAACGGATTGACCTGGGAAGAAGAGAACGGGGCAGGAGAGTCTTCAGTGGATGTGGAGGAGTGGCAGGAGGTCACAGATGACAGAGCCAGGGGTGCAGTTTTTAAGAAGCAGGGTGTCTCTCTGCTCCCTTCTCCCACTGTCAGCCCATGACTCTCTCACCTTCGTGTAGACAGAAGACACAAAGACAAGGTGAGAGTGTCACGGGCTGGCAGTGGGAGAAGGGAGCAGAGAGACACTGAGCTCTTTCCATTTCCTGAGGCGGGAGAGAAGGAGCAGCTGGGCTTTGGTGGAGAGCCAGACTGTGAAGTCCAGGAGGTGGAAGGAGACAAGGGAGGAGGCTGCTGTCTACAGAGATAATGACCATAATCACTTGATGCATCACGCTGCCACTGTGTGTCTGTCCCTGCCTGCAGCCCCACGACTAAGTCTGGAAAGGCAGGGCTGCCTGGTTCTGCCTGGGCCTGCCAGACAGGAGCTGTGCAGTGTGGGATGAGTGAGCAGAGCCTCCAGATATATGAGGTAGGTTGGGAGTACAGTGGAAGTTACCCAAGGATGGCTATGAAGGAGGAAACAGCTGAACTGAACTTGGAAGGAAAGTTTGTCAGAAGAAAAGGTGAGAGAAGATAGCATTATCAGTAAAGGGGAAGAGACATCTGAGCACACATATTTACGAAAAGCACATCAGACTTGGGAACTGCCGGATGTGCTCTCTGGGGACCTAACTGGGAACCACTGTCCTAAGAAGCCAGGAAAGGCCAGAGACTACTGCAGCCCACTGAACCTTTCTGGCTAGGTGACTGCATGGGAGAAAGACAGTGCTGACCACCTTCAGAAGGCAGCGGTGGGACCCCTTGGCTCACTACTTCAGGCGGCGGGAGAAGGATCCTGGTTGTCCTTGGGGCTGAAAAAGGATGGTGAATCACTTCTGCTTTCCAAAGCACTAGGGCTGTTTGACCACCCAGGAACTGGAACTAGCTGGTTGTTACACCCAAATCTCTTCGGATGCTGGGCTCCTAAACGTGTCACTGTGCAGATGCAGTTGGGAGTAGGCAGGTGAAGAGGTAAAGAAGCCACAAGGGACAAGCCATCAAGCTCTGGGGCTCATCTGGCAGGAGGGCTGCCGAGGAATAGATCACCAGGTTCTGTCCTCAGTCCCGAGGCCTGGTTCATTCCCCTGGCTTCAATTACATCTCTGCGCTGGTAAATGCTAGCCCTGCACTTCTCCACTTAGATGTCTCACGGGAACCTTCGAGTCAACATGCCTCAACTGAATTCACTGTCTTCTGCAAATCCCATCCTGGCTCAGTGAAAGGCACCACCATCTTGCTGGTCACCAAGCAAACACCTGGGAGACATCCCTGCCTCCATCTCCCTCTCCTGCCATCAGATCAAAGGCCCATCACTTCAGCTTCCTCTGAAAATCCCTCTCTTCTTCTCTGGCCCCACAATCAATCATCTCTCCCTTGGCCTGCGTTTCCTGCCTGAGGCATCGAACTCGAGGTCTTCCTGCCTGGAATCCTCCAAGCTACCTTCCATTTGGCCACGGCATAATCTTAGGATGCAGGTGTGACCAAGTGCATGCTTTGATTAAAACCCTCAGTGACTTCTCTCACCGGTAGGATAAAGCCACAGCTCTTCCGCAGGGCCTCAGAGGCCCTCCCTCAACAACACTGTCCATCCTGCCTCTCTTCTGCTCAGTTTTGGCTGTCAAGCTGCTGTGGAATGTGCCGTGCCTGCTGCCAGGAGGGCCCTCCTGAGGAGTCTGTACTCACAGTCAGCCTCTTGTAAAGCCATTTCCAGGCAGGATGGGGGACTTCCCTCATCCCAGTACTTGTCACATGCTAATATGCTTGTCCAGTTTTGTGTCAGTCTCCCCACTGGACAGCTTCTTCTGGGTGAGAACTTAACTGTGTCACACTTTGGCTGCCAGTATTTGTAGAAGTGTTTGCTGAATGAATAAATGACTGACTGAAGCAAGTCCTCAGCTTGGAGGAATCCAGCAAGCAACTTCTCAGGCCATGACACGTTTTTTCCTCCAGTTATTTGCCCCCAGGATCCCTGACCCTGATGCCTCCCAAACTCATTCAGACCTTCCCAGAACAGTGAGCCAAGCTGAGGCCTTTGGCAGCCAGCATCATTCATGCCCCAGAAGTCCTGGGGGTTGGGGCGAGGGTCCTCAGGGAGGAGAGACGGCAGAGCTGGGCTCTCCCTACACCCACCTTCTTTTTCAGCTTGTGCCGGGCCCGCTTGGCGGCCCTGGCGCTGTTGGGGACTTTGGGCTCCGTGCTGTTGATGAATTCCAGCAGCTCATCCACATCTCGGTGGTCCACGGCGGGCTCCCCAGGGATCCCGCCCAGGGTGCCCCCCTTCATGGGCAGCTCCTCTTTCCGCCTGGTCAGCCTCGAGCGGAGCTTCTCCCGGATCTCGGTATAGTTCCGACTCGTCGGGGCAGCGGGTGGCTGGGGGTGGGGGGGAGGTGCTGACATTACACCCTGGGCCTGGGGGGCCCACAGCACTCCCTCCCACGGGCACCAAGTATGTGATGAGAAGCAAGACAACTGTTCTCTCTACCATTAGCCACCAAGGCCACATGGCTTCACCCTCTCAGCCAGGCTGAATCCAGGCGGCAGTGGGTGAAGGGACTAGGAGGGAACAGGGCAGAGCTGGGCAAACACTGACTGGGGAGCCAGAAAAACAAGTTGGAGCCCGGGCTTCGTCACTGGGAAGCTGTATGACCTTGGGCGAGTCACCGAGTCTTTGTGAGCCTCAATTTTGTCATCTCTAAAATGAGGATAATAACCCCTAGCTCAAAGGTGACTAGCAATTTAATTACTTTCATTTCTTCTATCCTCAGCTGCTCTACCCTAACCAGCGGCCCTCTCCTCTTCACCTTATGAGACTTCTGCACTGCTTCCTCCCCCTGGCCAGAGCCAGCATGCCCTCTGATCTGAGCCTCCTTCCTGGCGCCGTCTGTGCTCACGGCCTGTCCCTCGGCTGGCTGTCACACTTGGGGGACTGAGAGCCTTTTTGCTTCCACTCTGCCTTCATCACTCCCAAGCGTTCACTTCTCTGGGATTACACACGTATACATACTCATCAGAATCATAGCTTTCTCTCTGCCATTTCCTTTCCTTTTGCCTAAGGAAAAAAAGTCAATCTTAAGAGAAACCATGAGAAGAGCAAAGGTAGCAAAATGTTTAAAAACCCCTACCTCACAAATGTGCTGTGAGGATCAAGCGAGCAGACGCAGGTGCAAGGACTCACGGCCCCAGCACGGTAATTACCACCGTGAGCAACGGGGTCTCTGGGGAGAGCAGGGTGCTCCTTTTGCTCACCTTGGCTGGCCCCCAGCCCTCTCTAGCCTGGGCAGGCTCACTCACCGCATTGTGGCCGAAGAACTCACAGTAGCAGCAGTCACAGAACTTCCCATCTCTCTGGTGGGTGGAGGATGAGGTGCAGGAGCTTCGCTCAGAGCTGCTATCCTCTTCCTCACCCAGCCCCTCATCTGCCTCGCAGGGCTGGGGCAGCTGGCAAGCCAGGCCACTGTGTGCAAACTTGTGCCCCTTGCACCCGGGATCCCTGATGATGGGGAGGAAGGCCCAGAGGTGAGGCAGGGTGATGCAGAAACCCAGGAAGCATCCCAACCACCACCTGCCATCCTGACCGCCCTTCACTTGCCCCACTCCACAGAGGTCCCAGGTGGTCCAACTACATTGCACCTCTCACCTGAACAGGGCGAACACCTGCACTGTCCCTCAAGGCCCATCCCAAACACAAATGTGGCTCTTCTGGAAAGGTTTCCCCACGCCTCCCCTGCCTGCACCCACCATGCACCCCTTCTCAGGTTACTGTGCACACGTCACTCCATCTTCTGCTTATTGTGCGTCACTGTCATGGTCTGTTTGCGCATTTGTCTCTCAAACTGGACTGCACGCCTCAAGGGCAGGGGCTGTGTTGCTTCAGTTTTTGGGTCCCAGTGTGTAGCATAACAACCCTGCACACAGCAGGTGCTCAATAAATAGGCCTGAACCCATTAGTGGGCTGAAGGCTCCTCTGGAACACTCAGGGCTATCCATGAGGCCAGTCTCCTTTCACTTTCTAAGGTGCTTCTGAGCAGACTCTGGTGCTCTGGAGTAGATGGGTGGAGCTGCCTTAACCACAGGGCACGGAGTTGAGAAAAAGCAAGTGACTTCTGGGACACCAACTATAAGAGCCACTGTTTGTGCCAGGTTCTAGAGTCGGCATTTTTTTTTTTTTTTTGAGACGGAGTCTTGCTGTGTCGCCCAGGCTGGAGTGCAGTGGCATGATCTCGGCTCACTGCAAACTCCGCCTCCCAGGTTCACGCCATTCTCCTGCCTCAGCCTCCCGAGTAGCTGGGACTACAGGCGCCCGCAACCACGCCCGGCTAATTTTCTTGTATTTTTAGTAGAGATGGGGTTTCACCATGTTAGCCAGGATGGTCTCGATCTCCTGACCTAGTTGATCCACCTGCCTCGGCCTCCCAAAGTGCTGGGATTACAGGCGTGAGCCACTGCGCCCGGCCTTGGCATATTATTTCTAACCATCCCCCAAGTCCTCCAAAATAAGTGTCATTATCCCCACTTTGCAGTGGTAGAGAGTGAAGCTGAGTACTTGACTGCTTTGCCCAACAGGTGGCCAGGACTCAAGGATGCAAACAGACAGTGACAATGATGCACGATAAACAGGAGGATAAAGTGAGATGTGCACAGTGCCCTGAGAAGGGGTACATGGTGGGTGCAGGCAGGGGAGATGTGGGGAACTCAAGCCCACGTTTCTCTCTATGCAAAGCTCATATTCTCTCCACTGTATTGTTCTGCCTCTGGATTTCAGGAAGCACTGGGATATCTTGTAATACAGAGTATTTTCCCAGGGTAAGAATGAGACATACGCCTGAAACATCCCATAATTTGAGCCAGGAAGAGCTGAAGCCTTAGGCTGGGCCATGAGCAGCTGAAGCACCCATTGGGCTGGTCCCAACGCTGGGCTGAGGCTGAGGTGGCAGGGGAACTGAGAGCAAGGACGGAGCTCAAGGAGCTGTGTGGAGGCCCAGCTTCCAGGGCAGTCCAAAGCAGCCCTCTCTGCTGCTAGAAAGGATGCTAAGCATGTGACGTGGATTAAAAAAGATGGTGGCAGGAATCATTATCAGTGGTGCTTACAGAAGTTTGTTCTAAACCAACCATTCATTATCTATTGCATTAGCAAAACTGATTTTTTTTTTTTTTTTTTGGAGACGGAGTCTCGCTCTGTTGCCCAAGCTGGATGGAGTGCAGTGTTGCGACCTCGGCTCACTGCAACCTCCGCCTCCCAGGTTCATGCGATTCTCCTGCCTCAGCCTCCTGAGTAGCTGGGACTACAGACACACGCCACCATGCCCAGCTAATTTTTTTTTTTTGTATTTTTAATAGAGATGAGGTTTCACCATGCTGGCCAGGCTGGTCTGGAATTCTTGACCTCGTGATCTGCTCACCTCAGCCTCCCAAAGTGCTGGGATTACAGGAATGAGCCACCGCGCCTGGCCAGCAAAATTGATTTTATTTTCTATTTTGAGACTGGCTCTCACTTTGTTGCCTAGGCTAGAGTTCAGTGGCACGATGTCAGCTCACTGCAGCCTGTATCTCCCAGGCTCAAGCGATCCTGTCCCACTTCAGCCCCCGCAACCTAAGTAGCTGGAACTAGAGGCATGCACATTATGCCCCACTAGTTTTTAAATTTTTTGTAGAGACAGAGTCTCATTATGTTGCCCTTGCTAGTCTCCAACTCCTGGGCTCAAGCAATCTTTCTGCCTCGGCCTCCCAAAGGGCTGGGATTATAGGCATGAGCTGGGCACCAGGCCACAAAATTGATTTTAGAAAAATTAAAATAGTGTGCTTGTGAATATGGGAAACCAGCACTCATTGGTGGTTACATCAGTTTGGAGACCCCTTTGGATAGCAGTTTTTCAATGTGTATTAAGAACCCTCAAAGAGAACAAAAAACACCTAAACAGCCTTTAACTAGTAACTTTTTTCATTCTGAGAACTTGATTCCAACAAGAAAAATCCAAAAGAGGAAAAAGGCTTTAAGAAAAGACATCTTTAGAGACACTGTTGGTAATGTTAAAATGTCCGAATAACCCAAATGCTCAGCAACTAGAGAACAGTAACATGAATTGCGGTCGATGTTCTCCAGCCTTTGAAGCTAGAGGCTAAGAACACCACAAGAGAACACAAATATGCTGAGGAGGCAACGCTAAGTGAAAACCGGCGGGTGGCAGACTGCAGACACTGTCAACCCGGCATGTGCCAGACACAGGAGACTTTCCAATAGGAAGATAGAAATGCATGATAAACACAGATCTGATTTCTAACATAAAAATATACCTCTATCTTCTCCAAAGAATTCTCTTTCAAATATATGTTAGTATAACCTTTCTTAGTACTTAAGAGTTACTTCTAGGAATCTCCCTGAAGGACATGATTTCTCATTCAAACAGATTTAGGTGCAGGGATGCTTATTACAGTCTCATTCATTATGGTTAAACAACTGGAAATGCCTAGATATCCAGGAATAGGGGAATGATAAAGTATGCTTGAGCTATACAGTAAGACATTATATGACTATTGAAAAGTTTCTTGAAGAATTTTAACTGGGGAAATGATCATGACATAATGTTAAAAAATTACTACTACACGAAAGGTATATCAAATATCTAAGTATGTTATTTATATACAGAAACATGGTGAAAATATACCACAGTGGTAGAAGTTTAGGTTGTGAAGACATTTTTTTCCTTATACATTTCTGAATTGTTCCAAGTTAAAACAAAACAAAACACAAAACAAAAAAACCCCACATACTATTTTTTTTTTTTTTTTTAAAGCTCTGTCACCCAGGCTGGAGTGCAGTGGCATGATCAATGCTCACAGCAACCCTAAACTCCTGGGTTCAGGCAATCCTCCTGCCTCAGCCTCCTGAGTAGCTAGGACTACAGTTGCATGCCACCATGCCTGGCTAATTTTCAAAATTTTTTGTAGAGAGGGGGGTCTTGCCATGTTGCCCAGGCTGGTCTCAAACTCCTAGGCTCAAGTGATCTTCCTGCCTAGGACTCCCAAAGCGCTAGGAGTATAGGTGTGAGCCACTGTGCCAGGCCAAAACACATACTTCTTTACAATTGAAAAATAATGAAAGGAAAGACATAGTCTACTTTTTAATTGCCACCTCAAAGTTAACCCCAAATTTTCCAAAATTCTAAGTTCAAGTGGGTAGCGAGTTTGCCCTTCATGCAGCACACTTACCTGTGAGTGCTAGGGAGTGGCTGAGAGCTCGGGGGTGGGAGGAGAGGCCCACTGCAGTGCCCACCACAGTGCCCGCTGCAGGGGTGGCTGCACCCCGAGAATGGTGGGGGCATCTTCAGGAGCGGCATGCTGGTGGAGGGTAGATGGGAGCTCTGACATGGCCCTGGAGTGTGGGGGGCAGTGGCAGCAGCAACAGGGCACTCTGAAGCCTGGGCAGGGAAAGGTGCTGCCGGGGTGGTGGGCAGCAGGTGTGGGTGGGGTGGGGAGCCAAAGGAGCTGGGGTGAGACGGGATTAGAGATGCTGGCTGCGGGTGGTGGCCGGTGGGGCTGTTAGGGGGAGCAGTGAGGTCTGAGTGCTGGTGGTGCTCCGAGACGGGGAAAGCCTCACCTGTGGGCAGAGGGAGGAGAAAGGGGTCAGAATGGGAGCCCAGACCTGGGAAGGAAAGCCCACAGGCTCACTGCCACAGCATCCTGCTTCTGTGACAAGAGGGCACAGCCTCTCAGCACAGGGGACCCTGGAGCTGCAGAAGATTCTGTGTGGGCAGCAACACAGCTGAGCAGGCTCAAGGAGCCCAGGCCCAAGCAAGAAGGTACTAGGAATGCTGATTCCACACAAGGCCCCATGCCTTTTCTGCAGCATGAGCAGAAGATATGCATTCTGTCTCTGAGGGTCTCTCTAGGATCTGCTTGTACACAGGTGCTCCTCAGGCCTGGAGGATGATCTGCAGAAGCCAGTGGAGCAGCAGGCCCAGGCTCTGCCTCTGTGCCACGTGTACCACAGCAGCAGGGCATGCCAGACCCCTGAGGGCCCCAGATTTCAGACAAGTGGGAAAAAGGTTCTGATGACTCTCTAGCTTATGTACCAAAATTAATGGAATTATATACTGCTCAACACTCATAATTCTGGGAGCAGACCCACTTTGAAGAACTCAGCTCCTTCATTTAGAAGTATGACAGTAAATCATATTTACATAATAAACCAATAACCCAAGAGTTTTGTCTCTGGGTCTCTGAGAGTTATTTCAGGGTCAAAGAAGACTTACACAGCTGCTAAATTAGCTAATAACTATTACGGCTTACACTGCCAATCTCTTGGGCATTTAAATTCAGTGCTTTTATACCCATCCCTTAGGTGGGGAAATCAAGGCCTAGGAAGACAAGGTTGCCCAGGTCCTCTGTGGTGCTGCAGGGGTCAGGTGATCTAAGTCCTATGACTCCACTTTCTACTCAGACAGACCTCACCGGATGCCCTCTTGATCCAATGTGAACTACCAGAGCCAATGACAACTTTGAGAGGCAAACGTTTTTCTATTAGCAGTATTTTTCAAGTTCAGAGTTGTGGGGAAAGGAGTTCCAGAAATAGTCAAGGTCTAAGCTGCCCCTGCTTCCACCAGAACAGTTCCACTTTTACTTATTTTAGTAACCAGTCTTATGATTTGTTTGAACAAAGTGGATAGGAAAACACAGCTGTCCACATTTATAGGGCCTGGCTCTCTCCCGAGCCTGGAGACTCACCGGGGATGGTAGGAGGACTCCCAAGAGAGCTGCCTGGCATGGCCCCACTGGAATGTGGGGAATTCCAGAGGCCCGAGAGCTTATGTGCCGACAGGAACGAGCTAGGATCCCAGTCTCCCGAGTTCCCAGGGCAGGAAGAGGAGGACGAGGATGAGGATGATGAGGAGGAAGACGAGGACGAATGAGAGTCATCTCCACAAGACTGTGATTTGCAGGATGTGTGTGACAAGGAGATCTGGAGAAGGGGGAGGAAAAAGGCTCACGGTCAAACAGCAAACATCGGAGCTGACCCTCTGCTGCCTCAGCTTTTCCTGAGGGAGCTCCTTCTCCTCCAGACCATGTGCCATAGCAAAAACACAATTAATACAACTCCAGCTATAAGAACAAATGAGGGCCAGGCCTTTGCTGGGAAAGGGCTGCGGTGGTCCCACTTACATGCAATGTGTGGAGACTGGGGAGAGAGACTCTGGTAGGGGCAGAGACTGCCTGTGAACTGCGGGCCTTTGGGGAGTAGAGAGCGGCCAATGACAGGAAGGGCCTTTTGACCAGGAGTCCTGAAGCTAAACTGTTCCTGGGTAAAAGGGAAGATCTGCAGCGACGTGAGAAATGAGGAAAGTCTGGCCATCGTGATTCATGAAACAGCAGACTTAGATGACTCCCAAGTGTCTGTCCTTCTAACTAGGGCACATTTCAGACCCTCAAACTCATCTCTGTCTCCCATGTCATACTGGTTGGCTTTCAAGCTGCCACAGAGCCGAAGGCAGCAGGCTCGTGATCTACCAGTACCTATGAGTGGGCCCTCATCCTGTGCACAGACCACCCTGAGGGACTGACCGGTGGGCTGCCAGAAGTTTCTCTTCTTCCCCCAAATCTGAACTTGAGCTGCCAATGCTGTGCCAGTGCAGCCCAGAAGTCTCTCAGTGCCTGGGCATGGGAGCTGCCCAAGGAGAGCCACCTGAGGACAGGGAACAGCCTGACTTCCTTGGGGAGGAGCCCTCCTGCATTCAGGGACCCCTGTCAGCGGTTACCTACCGCCACTGCATGTTCTCGACCTGTCTGCCTTTCATCTTCCTCCATGCTCTTTCGGCAACTCTGGCAGACCCACAGAGGCATCTCGCCTAGGAGATTCTTGACGAGCTTTGGCATGAAGTCAGGGGGCAGCTTCTCACCCTGCAACACCAGTCCATTTTGAGAAGGGCCTTCTTCCCAGCCTTTGCGTTCCCGGTGACACAGCAGGCAGCAAGTCTGCACAGGCTGGCTGGAGGCGGGGGGGACCTGTCCAACAGACAGAAACAGGGTTTCCCAGGAGGGGAAAGGCTCTCCTTCAAAATAATAGTAACAATATTAGTAATGCCACTTATTACGTGCCAGGCACTGGGTTAGGCACTTTTTAGACATAATTAAAATTTAGTCCTTGTAACAGCTCTGCAAACGAGGTGTTCTTATTCCCATTTTTTAAGATGAAGAAACAGATTTCAAGAAGTTAAATGAGTTGCCCAAGGTTAAAAGCTAGCGAGTGGTTGAACCCTAGTGAGTCTGGCTCCAAAACTCATGCTCAAATATCCTAATTCTCTGACATCCCCAAATCTTAAAGGTTAAAGAGAAGATGGCCCTTCCCTCTCTGGCATGGCTGGGAGTGTCCACAATTCTTGGGCTGCCTGTACAGCCCAGGGACCAATGCCCATCTGGAAGGAAAGAATGCTTTTAGTCAGTGGACAGTTTAGGAGAATGTGTGGGTTTTCTGAAGAATTGCACAATTCCCTTAGGATCGCAGCAACATTTTGGAGGAGGCGTTTGTACAGCTAGTCAGAAAGCATCAACTCAATGGGAAATTGTGTCAGAGGGAAGGTAAGGCTCTGGTTGGTGCTCCTGAGAGGTAGTGAGTATGGTGAAAACAGTCTGGGCTTTGAAATCAAACAGATATGCATTCTAATTCCTGCCTGAACACATACTGGCTGGGTGACCTTGAGCAAGTTATTTAACTTCTCTGGGCTCCAATTCCTACCTACCTTGCAGAGTTGTTGTAAGGATCATCACTGCGTAGCAGGTAAAGTGTCTACCCTGTGTATGCCCATAGCATAGGCCCAATACAGTCATTATTTGGACTTTTTTTTTTGCCTTCTGTGACAAACTTGCTTAGAAATATAACTCAGGCCGGGCGCGGTAGCTCATGCCTGTAATCCCAGCACTTTGGGAGGTCCAGGTGGGCGGATCACGAGGTCAGGAGATCGAAACCATCCTGGCTAACACAGTGAAACCCCGTCTCCACTAAAAACACAAAAAAATTAGCTGGGCATGGTGGCAAGCACCTGTAGTCCCAGCTACTCGGGAGGCTGGGGCAGGAGAATCGCTTGAACCTGGGAGGCGGAGCTTGCAGTGAGCCAAGATCGCGCCACTGCACTCCAGCCTGGGCGACAGAGCGAGACTCCGTCTCAAAAAAAAAAAAAAAAAAAGAAAAACAAATATAAGTCTGTAGGTTTGCTTTCACATTGAGGGGTCCTGACTGGGAGACTGATTACATTTAATGCCTCCAATTAATAGCTTCCTATATCCTACAACTTTGTATCTGCCCCCACTCTGACACTGGGCTTGACTATGTCACTTTGGCCAATGGGATGTTAGCAAATAGGCTGCCAGCCATAAACCTGAAAGGTGTGTATACATTTCCACTTGTTTCCATGCACGGCTGGGCTTGCTCACTCCTGAACCTCTGCCATGGCCTGAGAGCGAGACCAGGCTAGCTGCTGGAGGGATGTGAGAGACTTGTGGAGAAAGCAAAGTCTTCCCAGCTGATTGGCCAGCTGATCAGAGAAACATGAGTGAGCCCAGCCGAGAGCAGACTCATGAGAGATAGAAAGTGGTATTGTTTTAAACCACTAGGTTTTGGAGGTGGTTTGTTATGCAATGGTAGTTAACTGACATACCTTCCAAACTTACCCAACACTGGGTAACATGTGTCTGCAGAGGCCTACGGGAATAATAAGGGTATCACCCTCATCCTACCAATAAGATAATGCCATCATTTTTCTCCCGTGAAATTACTTTCTCATAATGAGTTAGCATTAGGGTATCCTTAAACCTCTAATGTTACCATTACACTGACTTGGGTCCTTGGTTTCTCAAAAAAGAAAGGAACCAAACAGTAGTACCAGAAGCATAATGAAACTTTCGGAAGTACAAGGAACTTAGAAAAAGAGTACCAGAGAGACAGAAATTTTACATGTGGAACTCACAAAAGATACAGCCTAAATCAGTGTCTGCCAAGGGAACATTTCAATGAGCAAGACAGTTGTTTAATGGCAACTGCAGGGGTGGAAGGTGGATAGAGAAGGATGGTATTCAGAGAAATTAAGGCAAAGAGGAAACTTTCCATAGCTACGAAGTGCCACAGTAACTCTAGATAGAGTCCCTTTTCCTGCCATGATGATGACCACAAGGCGAGCACCAAGACATGTAATTTTACTACAACGGTTTCATTTCATTTGCATGCTAGGTTCGAAAGTCAGTACATACAATTAAAATCTTGTATAGTTATTCTCGAAATTCTTTTTTTTTTCTTCTTTTGAGACGGAGTCTCGCTCTGTCGCCCAGGCTGGAGTGCAGTGGTACGATCTCGGCTCACTGCAAGCTCCGCCTCCCAGGTTCACGCCATTCTCCTGCCTCAGCCTCCCGAGTAGCCGGGACTACAGGTGCCCGCCACCACGCCCGGCTAATTTTTTTGTATTTTTAGTGGAGACGGGGTTTCACGGTGTTAGCCAGGATGGTCTCAATCTCCTGACCTCGTGATCCGCCCGCCTCGGCCTCCCAAAGTACTAGGATTACAGGCGTGAGCCACTGTGCCCAGCCTGAAATTCTTTATGTGGCCTATAAAGCACAATATACAGTCATCCCTTAGTACTCATGGGGGATCAGTTCCAGGACACCCCCCAGATACCAAAATCTGCAGATGCTCCAATCTCTGATATAAAATGGTGTCATATTTGTATATAACCAATGCACACCCTCCCACAATCTCCAGATTACTTATATTTAATACAGTGTAAATGCTATGTAAATAGCTGCTATACCGTATTGTTTAGGGAATAATGACGAGGCAAAAAGTCTATACTTGTTCAGTATAGACACAACCATCCTTTTCTTTCCTTGAATATTTTCTATCCACAATTGGTTGAATCCACAGATGTGGAGGAATGACTGTATATGGTTTTGTAGTTATAACCGACAATTCAAATGTGTAATAAAACGTATGATACGTGTGTTTTCTGTTTTTAAAAGCAAATACACAATTCTTATAAATTAAGTGTGTAATCAGTGTGACTGCACTTAGTGCCAAAGTACTTGTGGAAGGCACTGGGGCGCAGTGGAAACAACACTGGCTTTGGCATTAATCCTGGCCTCTATCACTTACCAGCTGTAAGATGCTGGGCTAGTTCTACTTACCCTCTCTGTTTGCTCATCTGTAAAATGGGATTAAGTCCTAATTTGTAGGGTCAGCTGTGAGAAATAAATGTGACAAAGCACCTAGTCCAGTGCTAGGCACATAGATGTTGCTGAACACATGGTATTCATCATTAACACGACAGGAACAATAGGAAACAATAAATGGTCACTGCATTTTACACAAACGTGAGTCTCTCATATATGATGAATCTAAACTGACTTGTTAGAAATCTTAATCTCTCCCCTCAACCCCATGAAGTCATTCCCTAAGTTCCCAAAATAATCTCTGCCTTTTTCTATTTCATGCTTTCGCTAAAGGTGATTCCTTGCTTAAAACCCACTTTCTTCTCATGTTTTTCCAATGACTAGCTGAGACTAAAGGCTCAATTTAAGTCCAACCTCCTCTAGGCTTTCTCCTCTCGTAATTCACTTCTCCTCTCCCATCTCCTCCTAGTACACTGTGCCTTGGTTACAGTAGTTGTGTCTTCTGCACAATTTATTTTCCTGTATCTTCCATCCCTTCTACAAGAGGCAGGTGCCAGGTCTGATTCCTGTCTGGATCCCTCACAGTGCAGCACAGGGCCTGGCTTCAGGCATGGACTCAGTGGGCCATGTGGTAGAGAACTCAGATTTGCTAGGTGTCCCCATGGCAATGCAGCCGGCAGGCAGTCCAATGAGACACTGCTTGAAATTACTGCTGCCTACAGAGAAAGGCCCATCTGTCCACCTGACCTCCAGAATGGTTCCAATCTTAACCGCGTTAAGAGTAAAAGACTGCATTCTTTAGGGATTATAATGAGATGCCCCCAGTTAATGGAAATAATGTGACTCTCCCGAGAGCCAAAATGGTACACAAAATAAATGAGATTAGCCATCACTAGAAGTGACTTTACAGGATAGGTTGTCTTCCTAGTTAAAGCAAGAAACACAGGGCCTGAAAAGCTAATTAAGCTCTAATTGAAGCTGCCCACAGAACTGAGTGATGATACCACCCATGCTGCATAAAGCTGCCCACAGGATTAAGTCACATTAGAGATACAAAGCACTTAGCTCAAGGGATCCAGGCTGCAGGCACTCAATCTATTATCTAAGCCCCTTGGCTGTTCTGTTCTAAGTCTACATTGAAGACTAGTTTATCCACTGTCCTCTCTGAGTTTGGTACACTTGAGTCCTTCTTTGAGGCCCAGGCAGTTTGAGGGGCCACCCCTAAAGCTGATGTCTGAACTCTAGGCCATGGCGCCTGCCCCTAGGTATGATGCCTTGTGGAACTGGGAACTTTCCTCTGCTACTTTCATCTCCACTTTAATTGCTAGAGGGTGATAAGAATCCCAAGCCCTAGAGATGTTATATTTATAGTCAGTAATGCCACTGGTTCCTTCAAATTTTTGCTTTGGCAGAGAACAGCTCTTGGTTCAGAGTTCCCTTTGACTGTGATCTGCTGCCATTTCCCAAATTCTGGCATTCATGACCCCTTATGCCCTGAAAAGTCGGTCAACCCAGACTTTCAATCAGCTGCTCCCAAGCTGTACTTTTAGCACCTGGCACAGTATTCCTACACAAAGAAGAGATCAGTAAATGTTCATCCAATGAATGAAAACTCCAACCATTTTTCTTCATCACAAAGGCTGATGGAACTGATTCTTGAATCCAGCAGCCCTGGGCAGCAGCCCATTGTTCCTGCTCACCTCAGTTTAAATTTCAGAGCCTCTGAGGATGCAGGTCTAGCCTTAGGCAAAAGATGAGGGAAGAAAAGTTCTGGGGGTTCTACTGATTTGGGATCTCCTCAAAAAAGCTCCAAGATAATTTTTCTTCACTCTAAGCATAACCAGAATCTCTGGAGAGTGTGAGATTACTCACAAGGGATCCATGCTGTAGCATGCACATCCCCAGAGCAGTGAAGGGGCCAAGTGAGCTCTAGGTGCACTCTAGGGCCTAGGGGGCTGGCATCTGTAGCCATTAAAACCATTATCTCTGCTCCCTTACCAGATCAGGCCCAAGACTTTTTTGTCTTGGCCTGAGAAGCATTAAGTTAGGGCATTCTAGTTTTTCCTGGATAAAAGAGAGATAAAATCAAAGGAAGAGGAAGCCACTTTTTTTCATGGAACACCATTTTTTAACTGAAAGAATGACTTACTATTTAGACTTGGGTATTGGCAGACATTTTCTCAAAAAAATGAACAATGAATAAAATGAGCCTGTCACTTCAAGGAAAACAACTGACAGTATTTGTGGGCAATGATATAAAATGCAAGCTTTCAAGTGAAAATTAAAATTCTGAAACTTGCATCTACCACCATGAGTTTGACAGCTTCCAAATACTTGAAGACTTTTCTGATGAAATTGGTGGTGATATTAACAAATGTTATCTTTTGGCATTGTAAAATGAAATGGAAAACATTTGGAAGATGTGCAAAATCCAGTGAGCCTATTTTCCAAATGACCAAAGCATGATGGATTCAAAGCACTGGCTCGACCAATAGATTTTAGTGTAAATGAGTATGAAGACTTCACTGATATGGGCTCAAATTCAATAATGGAAATTATTTGGAAAGGCTACTGAAACATTCCTCCCTTTCTCACTTACATATTTGTGTGAGGTTGGATTTTTTTTCATATACTTCAACCAAAACAATGTATTGCAAAAGACTGAATACAGAAGCATATATGAGAAGCCAGCTTTAGTCTATTAAGCCAGATGAAAAGAAATTTGCAAAAATGAAAAGAAGACCATTCTTCTAATTTTTTTTTTAAGATGAAATCTCGCTCTGTCATCCAGGCTGGAGTGCAGTGGCATGATCTCAGCTCACTGCAACCTCCACCTCCCATGTTCAAGCGGTTCTCCTGCCTCAGCCTCCCAAGTGGCTAGGATTACAGGCGCCTGCCAATACGCCTGACTAATTTTTATATTTTTAGTAGAGACAGGGTTTCACCATGTTGGCCATGCCGGTCTTGAACTCCTGACCTCAAGTGATCCGCCTGCCTCAGCCTCTCAAAGTGCTGGCATTACAGGCATGAGCCACCACACCTGGCCATTCTTCTAATTTTGTTTTGGAAAATATAGTTTTCATTAAAAATTGTTATGTTAACAAGATAGCTTTAATATTGTCTTTCTTAAATAAATTAGTGACAAAATATTTTAAAGCTTTCTCAGCTTTAATATTTAATTTGGTAAGTATCAATAGATATAAACAACACAAACAAAAGCTCTTTGGGTTCCTCAATAATTTTTAGGAATATATAAGGTCTCCTGAGGTTGGAGGATTGCTCAAGCCCAAGTGACGGAGGTTGCAGTGAGCCAAGATTGCACCATTGTACTCCAAACTGGGTAACAGTGAGAGCCTGTCTCAAAAAAAAAAAAAAAAAAAGATAGCTCTCTGGGGGCATGACTCAATTTTCTAGCTTGGCCTTTCTGTCCACAATTTGGGAATAACCCATTGCCAGACCAGACAGCTGTCAAGGACTACTCTGAAGCTGGATTGAATTTCCAGCACTCAGCGTGGCCTCATTCATCCCATGGATTCTTTTTCATCTCCAGAGTTTGTGTATGTTCGTACAGGATTGCCCCAAGACACATGCTGTATCTAACCAGCTGCCCTGCAACAGGTCCCAAATTCTATTTTGAAATGGCCCATTAGAGCACTCTACTCTCAAGGCACCCAACTCCAAGAGCCTCTCTGTCACCAAGGCAGGCAGAGGACAACACCAGCAGCTAAAATTCCCTTTCAGAAGCAGAGAAAATGATTAATCCTCAGCCTAGAAAAACTCATTGTCATAGTTATCATCAGTCACTCTTCCATTCACCCATTTATTCCCTCATTCAACATTGTCAGAGTCCCTGTCTCCTGCCAATTGTGCTAAGTGCCGGGAAACATCTACCCTTGACAATTCCTATTCATTCCCTAAGATTCTGGTCAAAGGTCAATGAAGCTCTTGCTGGTCAAGCTAAGCACAACTGATTCTATTTAGTATAGCATCATCAAAATGTGCCACAGATGTATTCTGTCTGTTCCTAAATTCCTGGTAGAATGTGAGCCCTCTGGGGGCAGTGTGTGGACCTTGGTCATTTAAGTATGCCCAGGAACCTAGGCTTGGCTTGGGCCTGACACATTGCAGGCATTCACTGAATAAATAAATGAAAGCTTAAAGCCCATCTGGCTCATGTCTCAGCTGTTCAACACAAAGGCAGAATTTAAAACAGAGCCAAAACAGTGCATTTCCCAACATGCTATGAGTCACTCTGAGCCACTGATGAGAGGGCAATCAGTGAGAAGAATCTCAGACTATTCTAATGCTGACAATCAGAGCTGCAGTTAATTCTAAGAGAGCTGACACAACCCCACCTCAGTGCCCTGGAGCTGTTACCCAAACTTCCATGCAGGCTGTGGGCTCAGGCCCTTCCAGGAGGTAGAACAGCTGTTTCACACTACGAGACTAGTCAGTGGAGAATCCTTTCTGGTTGTACAAGCTCGGTTGGGAGTGAGTCTCTCTGATCCTAGTGACCTTAACCCTAAAACTTTCTGTTTTAATATCCCCACAAGGCTAGCTCATCCGCTGAACTGCCTCCTGGGTGCAATGAGCCACAAGGAGGGCCCAAGCCGCAGATTTACCTGAATCCTCAGGTCAAACTGCCACTCTGCTACTCTAACCCCAGCACACGTTACTCATGGAGGAGGAAGAGCATGAATTTTGGGGACGAGACACACAGTTGTGAGTTCAAATCCCAGTTGCCATTTTCAATATGATCTTGGAATATTACTCAATTTCTTTGAGCCTCAATTTCCTCATTTATGAAATGGGAATAAAACCATATTTTACAGAGTTGTGAGGACAGAAGGAAATAAATTATGTAAAGTACCTGGCCTGGGCCTGGCACAAAGTAGGTGCTCAATACCCGTTAGTTTCTTTCCTCTTCTGCCCTGGAAGAAATGACAGGGAAACTTACTAAGTGAGACTTGCCCAAACCAAATTTATTTCTTTTTTTTTTTTTTTTGAGACGGAGTTTCGCTCTGTCGCCCAGGCTGGAGTGCAGTGGCGCGATCTCGACTCACTGCAAGCTCCGCCTCCCGGGTTCACGCCATTCTCCTGCCTCAGCCTCCTGTGTAGCTGGGACTACAGGCACGCGCCACCATGCCCGGCTAATTTTTGTATTTTTTAGTAGAGACGGGGTTTCACCGTGTTAGCCAGGATGGTCTCGATCTCCTGACCTCGTGATCCTCCCGTCTCGGCCTCCCAAAGTGCTGGGATTACAGGCGTGAGCCACCGCGCCCGGCCCCAAATTTATTTCTTGAAGCAAAGGACAGAAGGACTAGACAAGTGACTTCAAGGCCTCTTTGAACCCCCAGCTCCTTGTTTTCTGGCTATAACTTCCTAATAAAACCTTCAGTGTTTGCAGTTCCACCAGCCCCTTCTTTCTGCTTTAGTTTCCCTACATCATTTTTCACAGTAGATAGATCTACTCGTAGCTACCACTTGTGCTAAGCATCCTAAGCATGGAGGGGGAAATAATAAAGGGAGCTAAGGGCCTTTGGTGGAGAATGAAGGGGAGATGGACTGCAGCATGTTGGCCCACAGGCTGCACAACCATGCAGCTGCTGTGCTGGGAGCCACCCAGAGTCTGAAGGATGAAGGCAGGCTCACAGGCACAGAACCGAAGGCACACACACAGGGCCCTTCCCAAGACATAGCATGCCTCTCCTCAGTCCTTCTCTGCTTCTGCACATCCTGCCAAGAAGGACCAAATACATAAAGTAGTCACACCTTCCCATATGCTGTTCCTTCTGCCTTTTTCTTCTCTTTTTTTTAGGCTCGATCTGGGTGTTACATCCTCTTAAGTCCACAGGAAGAATGAACTTGGCTTTGCTCTAGGATATCCTAACACTCTTTTGTTTAAAAACGTATCTCTAGAATAGAGCTTATCATATATATTCTAGTGGTTGAAATCTGTCCTTTCCACAATACTGTGAGCTTTTCAAGGGCAGAGCCTGTGTCCCACAAGTCACTGTATTGCAGTCATTCAGCAGAAGCTGTAGCACAGAGTAGGCACAGGTAAGTGTTTGGATACACAATGGAAGATTATACACAATGGAAGTTGGCAAATATCATTAATAGATCAGAACTGGGGGAAGGTTTTTTGTTCTGTTTTAAACTAAGGTTGTTTCTGTTCTTGTTTATGGAAAAGCTCCTCCCTGGGAAACCCACTGTTTGAAGAATACCCTAGGTCTCCTCAAAGATCCCCCTGGCACCCTCAATTCAGCAGCTCCCAGACCCAGTCACATGTCAGAGTCACTTGGGAACAATTCAACAATAGATACCTGGGATCCAGACCTGGAGACTGACTCTGTAAGTCTGGGATAGGGTCCAGCAAAGCACAGGGGATCTGATGATTATTAGCTTGGGGCAAGGGAGAGGTGGAATCAAGCAATCACAGCTGTCTCTCCCACTGAGAATTACTTCCTCACATGCTATCAGAGAATGTATTGAAGCACATCACGTTCTCTTTCCTGCTTAAAACCTTTCATTGATTCTTCACCACCTACAGGATAAAGCCTAAACCTCTTGGTGTGGTTTTCAAGAACCCTGCTAGCCCCTTCAGCCGGATCTCTCCCGACTCTCCAAATGAGTGGTGCTCGCCCTGGGTCTTTGTACAAGTTCCTTCCTTTGTTTAGACTCCTTTCTACCACCTTGTCCTCTGGAGAACTTCTACACAACCTTGAAGACTCAGCTCTGAGAAGCATTCTCTGACCCATCTTCCTCTAGGTTATGTCTTGGGCAACCCTGACACCAAATATCTACAATACTCAGAGCTACCACTTGTGTTAAGCATACCGCACTTGTTGGACCCTAACATTAACCATGTAAGACTGGATTGTCTTTTCTTTTTTTTTTTTTTTTTTTTTTGAGAAAGGAGTCTCGCTCTGTCGCCCAGGCTGGAGTGCAGTGGCGCGATCTTGGCTCACTGCAAGCTCCACCTCCCAGGTTCACGCCATTCTCCTGCCTCAGCCTCCAAAGTAGCTGGGACTATAGGTGCCCGCCACCATGCCCGGCTAATTTTTTTGTATTTTTAGTAGAGACAGGGTTTCACCGTGTTAGCCAGGATGGTCTCGATCTCCTGACCTCGTGATCCTCCCGCCTCGGCCTCCCAAAGTGCTGGGATTACAGGCATGAGCCACCGCGCCCAGCCTGGATTGTCATTTTATACATGAGAAAACAAACCAAGAGGCTGAAACACTTGCAAAGGCCACTTAATAGGGTCCAGGATTTGAACCTTTATTCAGAGGAAGCCGATGCTATATCTCCTTCTAGCATTACTGCAATTACTATACACACGTTCTCTAGACTATGAGCCCCTTGTGGGAAGGGACTATGTCTGATTCACTTCTGCATGCGCAGCTAGCCCAGGCCTGGCACAGAGCTGGGATCGGTTAGTGTCTGCACAATAAATGCCATGTGAAATAAAACTGGGCATCACAGCATGCGAATGGCTGGCCTAAATGAATAACTGCCAGCCTGGCCCAGTTGTGGGGGCAGACAAGAACAAAGTGGTAGAATCCTTACTTATTATAATTTTTAACAGCCATGTATTGAGTATATAAGGTCCACACACAATATATTTCCCCCCAAATAAATTAAAACATAGACCCTGCTCTAAAAAATTCTAGATGAGGTAAGTAAAGGTGTTAGGATCATCCATCTGATATCAAAAATTAAAAATTTAAAACTCAGCTGGGTGTAGTGGCATGCACATGTAGTCCCAGCTATTTGGGAGGCTTAAGGAGAAGTATCACTTGAGTCCAGGAGTTTGAGGATAGCCTGGGCAACATAGCAAGATCCTATCTCTAAATTAAAAAAAAAAATTAAAATCCTAAGTGGGTAAGTCTTCATTTTCAAAGGTCTTTTGACATTTTTATATAGTGAGTCTCTACTGGCTTACAAAGAAGAACCAGAGGTGGCAAGGATCCCCTCAGTATCATTTCCTCCTACTGACAATGGAAGTAGTGCAGGCTGGGTAGGCACTGATTCTAAGGGGGAGGTCCCCAAAGATAGGAACTATCTTATCCATCTGTGCACCCCAAATAAAGGTCCTGGCACAGAGGTGGTTTTGGTATCTGCTGAGTGAATTAAACATAATGAGATGCTTTTATTAAAGATACTGACTAATCATCTGCTCCAATTTCTTGAGGGAACAGTGGAAGAATCGGATCTCTAGAGTCCCTTTAAACTAGACTGGGCAAAGTCCCAGAGGACAATGTGGAGGGAACAAGAGGTGGGGAAGGGTAGGATGAGTTCACCTCTCCTCACCAACTGCTGGCTTACATCCTAGCAAGTCTCCTGGGGGCTTATTGAGTGTACACTGGATTACAAACTCAGTGGTCCAAGAGAGATGAAAGACAGCTAGCAGAGCTAACAGGCCAGAACACTCAGGCTTTGTATGGCCACCTGGCACAGCTCCTGCCCCCTCTCTTAGGTGAGGCGCTTCTATGTACTAGCTGCTGCATAGGTTGCTTCTCTTGTGAAGTATTATTATTATTTTAAAAGGAGACGGTGTTTCCCTCTCTCCCCCAGGCTGGGGTGCAGTGGCGTGCACATGAAGTCCTGGGTAACTTAATTCCTGGGTTCAAGCAATCCTCCCGCCTCAGCATCCCAACTAGCTGAGACTATAGGTGTGAACCCATGCCCAGCTAAGTTTTGATTTTTTTTTTTTTATAGAACCAGAGATCTCACTATGTCACCAATGCTGGTCTCAAACTTCTGGCCTCAAGAGATCCTCCTGCCTCAGCCTCCCAAAGTGCCGGGATTACAGGCGTGAGCCACCAAGGCCTCTTGTGAAGTTCCTGATGGGGTCAGAGAGAAGCAACTTGCGGAGTCACAAAGCTAGGAGGCTAAGCTGGGAATTCAATCCAAGTCTCTAAACACTATTCCCCACTGCCTCCTACAATTGCTTTTTCAGTTGTTCTTTATTTTTTTTTTTGTTTGTTTTGTTTTCCTTTGCTAATAAGGTAGTAACTGTTTCAGCCTTCTTGTGCTATAAACGAGGATTTGGGTTGTTAGGAAACAGATCAATGTGGTTTAGTGGCCTGAAACAATTGAAAGCCATTTGGGATCCCAATTAAACTCAAGGTCCTGCTTTAAATGTGTACAGGTTATGCCAATGAGTGAAGGGGCCTGGAAAGAACCAAAGATGCCTAAGGAGCATACGCTGTCTAAAAGGGCCAAATGCTACTCAGAGACTACTGATTACTGCCTTGTGGAAAAGTGGACCCAGCATCACCATATCTTTAGTTTAAAAAAGAGCCCCAAATCCAAATGTGTGGGAAACCTTTTGATCTTTAAAATATTGGCTCAAATGAAAATAAAAACAGAAACAAAACAATATGTGAGCTGGGGCATTACAACAAGCCTGTGGACTGGAAGTGGTCTTATTTGCCACCTTTGGATTCAGTTTGGTATATGACACTGAGTTTCATCTTCCTTATCCACTCTGTAGATGTAAGACAGGGTTATGAGTGGCAATGGGAGCCAGAGTTCCTCACCAAAAACACGCTTGTAGGCAGAGCAATGACTGAACCCTACCCTTACACTAGGTGCTTTGCACCAGGGCACAAAAGCCTGCTTCCAGACCCCACCCCCGGTCAAAGTGGGGCATAACTAGAACCGAATTTACCAGTTTGTTTCCCTTCTTTGGGGCTATAGTTTAAAAAAAAATGCCTTGTTGAAAATCCCCCAAAGTACCTAAAAGTCCTTTTCTTTTCTTTTGTCTGACACCTACAGTTGGAGTCATTTGGGCAAATGTTTAGTTGCTCTGAGTTTCTGTTTCTTCATCTGAAAAATGGAGTAATGATAATTATATCCTCCAGTTTGTTGATCAATATTTGTTAACCACCAGGCACAGGGGTACAATGGTGACTGACATGGCTCCTGAACTCGCAGAGTTCACAAATAAAAACAAATAATCACATCAATGGTCAATTCATCATATTTGTGCTAAACGCTGCGGAGAAATACAGGTGAGGTGGGAAGATTAGAAGTAAGGTATGTAAAGTGCCTGGCACAAATAAATGAATCAGCAGGTCAAGTAGTGGAGTAGGTAAGAACATGGTAGGAACCTAGATGTCAAAGAAATTGATGAAGCTTAGAGCTCTTGGCAAAGTTGTGTCCTTAATAAAAACTGAATGGTTGAGCCATCATCCAAGCTTTTTGGCATCTCTATGTGGCAGAGACCCTGAAGTATTCTATGGTCTGCTGAATGGGAAGAAGAGAAGACAACAGCTTTCCAGCTCTCCCTTCTCCCACTCTCCCTTTTTGGATAACAGCACTCCCACGGGGGTCCCAGAGTAGGCTGGTGGGGGAAGCAGCTTTGGGGTTGGAAGCTAGACCCAGTAGGGGTTGGGGGTCCAACCTGGGGAGTCTCCTACGGAAGTGTCAGCCTAGGATAGGAGATGGGGATGCGGATGAAGGTGGAGCTTCTGACACTCAGTAAGTGCTGACATTTTCATTAATTAAAAACCTTATTGTGATCTGAGACACAAAGGAAATCAGCATGAAAACTGGGTTACAATAAGCACGGGTTCTGGACCGATTCATTTTCTCTCTCATTCACCTAGTTATTTTTATTCTGTGTTAGCAAGGCCCTGGGCGAGGCGTGGAAGATCAGAGAAAGATGGCATAGCCTGTGTCCCTGTGGAGTTCACAGTCCAGGGCAGGCAACAGACATATCAACACAATGTTTCATCACAGAAAGGGGAGTGCTACCAGAGGGAGGCACAGAGGGCTGTGGGCACAGAGAGGGCACCTGACGCAACTGGGGAGGTCAGGGGAGGCTTTGTGGGAAGGTACCCCAAACGGCAACCCCACTCACATGCACAATTCCAGAGATTCTACTAGAAGGCTGTCAAGAGCCATGCCTTCTGGCTGCACCAGCCTCCCAGAGTCCCCTGCTGCCCGATGCAGTGTCTGCAGAGCCAAACGCATCTTCCGCCACGCCTCATCCTCATCCGGCGCCGCATCCGACCCTCCAAGACTCCTGCAGGAGCCTGCCTTCCTGGGCAGGCTCAGCCAAAAGACCAACTCAAAACTCTTTTGTCAGAGCAAGCTTAGGGAGAGCCACCCAGCCCCGAGTGCCACAACCCTCCCAGAGCAACCGTGGCCCATGTCACCCCCGCCTCTCAGTGAACTTTGGCAGGGTACCTCCCGTTATCTCCTTTGCTCAAAAGAAAGTGACCTTCTTCCAGGTGGCAAGCTGGAAGCTTTGGGGAATCCTCCTACTGTTCGCTCTCAGCAGGATTCTCCAAACCTGGGATCTCAAGGTCGGGGTGGGCTGCCTTGCGGAGCAGGGGAGGGAAGAAGGGCAGGTTCTGCTGGGTTTCCACCTCAGTGCAGAAACCCCACCAAAAACTCCTCCGGGCAGCCTGGCTGTCTGCTCCAACTGCTCTGCTGGGTATGGCGAGGAGGCGCCAGGAGACACAGCTGCTGAGGGGGCCGCGGCTGCAGGCGCTGCAGGGGACGGAGTGGAGCCGTTCCCGGGGGCAGAGGGAAGAGGCTGCAGTCGTCCAGTCCCAGAGCCCCGAGATGGCCTGTGGCTGAGGGAGCAGGTGGGCCCGGGGGAGGTGGCGGGCCGAGAGCGGAGCTGCGGCCTCGGGATCACAGCCCAGTCCCAGTCCCAGTCCCAGTGTGGGTGTACGGCCGGAACGCCCGGAGGCGGCGGGGAGAGGGGAGCAGCTTCAGCCTAGTCGCAGGAGCGCGGACCGAGCCTCGGCTTTGGGGAGAGGGGTCCAGCCTCCATTCCCGCCCCGGGGGAGAAAGCTTCGGCGCCGGACCCGGGGGAAGGCTGCTACCCCAGCCGCGGCAGGATGGCCCATCCCCAACCCCGCCCCACTCCCGCTCCCGCTCGGGGAAGGTGAAAGCGCCCGAGCCGCCGAAGTCTCCCCGCTCGCTCCTACCTGCGGGCCGGGCACCAGGTTGGGTTCGTCATCCTCCCTGGGGCCGTCGTGGTCGGGCTCCGCCGGCGCCTCCGGAGGGCCTGCACCCGCTCCCGCCTCCAGGCTTGGCGGCGGCGGGGGCTCGGGCGCCTGGGGCTTCTGCGGCCCCGCGGCCCGAGCCCGCTCGCGCCTGCCCGCACCGCCGCTCGGCCTGCTCCGCCTCCGCGTCATGCCGCCGCTCGCGCCGCTCCCTCGCTCCACACGCCGCCGCCGCCGCCGCCGCCGCCGCCGCCGCCGCCGCCGCTACCGCTCCCCTCACAGGACAACAGCCAATATGGCGGCGCCCGGTTCCCCCCCTCCGCCTGCTGCCAACAGGTCAGAGGGCACGCGGAGTCCGCGCCGCCGCACTAGCCCCCGAGGCCGCCTGCGCCATTTTGAATAAGGTCACCACCCGGAGTTCGCTGGGAGAAAAACTTGGTGGGGAGACGCCCTTCCCCCCCTACGCGGGACGGGAAGGATGCAACCTGCTGGAGGAACGCGTGTAATGCGGTGGTAATCGCGCTGCACCACCCTAGCACTTAATAATTGCCTGTTAAATGGATGAGTGAATTAATTTCTATAGTGTTACAATACTTTCACACCCATCGTCTGACTCCTTCCGACAGCACAGCGAGGCAGGTACGGATCATTCCCATTTTGCAGGTGAGAAATATTGAGGCAACATAAAGGCCTGGAAAAGGTTGCTGTACATCATTTTGTTGGAACTCCTGGGCTCGTGGACGGCCTGAGTTGAAAGGGACGAAGGTCTTTATTTGCAACATATGGTCTACTGGGAGTCCAGCGTTCTGTGCTTGGGACAGTGGGACTCAAACCCGACTCCTTGTTCCCGAGTCTGATGGGGAAGGTAGACACGTAGGTACATAGTTACAACCGGTGTGATAACGATGAGACGACTAGGTGTTTCCAAAAAAATAGTATGTGCAGGAGAGGATTTTGGAGTGGTACACAAAGGAGAATTTTTAAAACTTAATAATTATGTATTTAATTGTTAAAAATGGAATTTCCCCCCTCTTTTTGTGAATATACTGTATAATACATGTACATGGCACAGATTAAAAAAAAAAAGTTTTGAGTGAAGTCTGTCTCATGCCTGGGCTATGTACTCTGAAATTGTGGTTATATGCAGAGTTGCTATTGGTATCAACAGGGGCGGAATCCTGACACTGGCTTCCTAACCCATGGGGCAAGGGCTATTTTGAAAGGAAGAGCTACATGGAAGGCCCTGGAGCTCTCCTTAACTACCAAGAAAATAAATCAAAAATAGTACCTTATCTCACCCAGGGATTAATGCCACTATCAAAGATTTGAAAGACGCAGGGTGAGTCCCATCACATCACCATTACCTCTTCAGTTTGCCCAGAACAGAAGAGAGACGGCCTTGAAGAACAACAGAGCATTATGATAAACTTACTTATTCTGGTAAGAACCCCAACTGCAGGCATTCTTCCAGATGCGGTCCTTCTTGGGACAGATCAGCACAGTTGTTGGTCTCTAATAGGCAACAAGAGGTCTGGTCAATGGTTATTCTTCTGTACCAAACACCAGGAATCCCTTGCATTGATCTGGCAGGGGCAGCGGTAAACCCTCACTGTCTTGCTTCAGGGTATGTCACACTCTGGACCCAGCCACTTAGTTTACAGGGATTTTTTTTTTTTTTTTTTTTAATGACAGAGTCTCACTCTATCTCCCAGGCTGGAGTGCAGTGGCGCAATTTCAGCTCACTGCAACCTCCGCCTCCTGGGTTCAAGGGATTCTCGTGCCTCAGCCTCCAGATTAGCTGGGATTAGAGGCACATGCTACCACGCCCCCTAATTTTTTTGTATTTTTAGTAGAGACGGGGTTTCCCCGTATTGCCCAGGCTGGTCTCGAATTCTTGACCTCAGGTGATGCACCTGCCTCGGCCTCCCAAAGTGCTAGGATTACAGGCGGAGCCACTGCACCCTGCCAGTTTACAGGGATTTTTTTTACTAAATCTCCATTCTAATGGATATCAGGCTAATCTGCTGAGGCACTGATGACATCATCTTGATGGACCTTAAGAAAAGGGAATAGCAGATATCCTGGATGATTTGGTAAGGCATGATGTGTGTGCCAGAGGATGGATAATAAATCTCACAAATATATAGGGGCCTCGCAGTAAGCCATCTAGGAGTCTGGGATATGTTGAGATATTTCGTACAAAGTGAAGGGAAAGCTGCTGTAGATCACACTCCCTACTAGGGAAGAGGTGCAATACTTGGGCTGGGGCTTCTTTAGACTTGGTAGGTAACATAGATGTATTTCGATACATTATTATTATTATTATTATTATTATTATTATTATTATTATTATTATTATTTTGAGATGGAATCTCTGCCACCCAGGCTGGAGTGCAGTAGCGGGATCTCTGCTCACTGCAACCTCTGCCTCCCGGGTTTGAGTGATTCTCCTGCTGGCCTCCGGAGTAGCTGGGGTTACAGGCGCGCACCACCATGCTCAGCTAATTTTTGTATTTTTAGTAGAGACAGGGTTTCACCATGTTGGTCAGGCTTGTCTCGAACTCCTGACCTCCTGAACCTCCGGCCTCAGCCTCCCAAAGTGTTGGGATTACAGGCATGAGCCACCGCGCCCGGCCTGTACTTAGGTACGTTATTTTGACCAGTTACTGGGTCACTTGAAAGCTGCCAACTTTAAGGCAGGATCATACAAAAAGAGAAACTTTTCTTAGTGGACCAGGCTGCAGAGTAAATAGTTCTGGCTTTGGTCTTAATACTCAAGCATTGGATTTTGGAGCAAACTTATGCTTTCCTTCAGCAAATAGTTATATTCCATTTTAGAAATAGCTCCTGGCTTGCTTCAGGGGTCTGGTGAAATTGGATGCCTGATCCTGGCCTACTAGGTGACCACGTGACCTGAACTGAGTGTTATCTGATCTACTCAGCCATAAAATCAGGGGTGCTCAGCAACACCCTGTCATCGAGAGGAAGTGACATGTGTGGGTTGGGTCCATGCAAGTCCTAAAGCACAAGTAGGTTGCCAGAGCAAGTTACTTACATTCCTCTGCTGCCACCCTCTTCTCCATTCCATCCTTCAACCTGGATCAGTGGTTTCATGAACGGTTTAATGATGAGTTGACTAAGGAAGAAAAATCCAAAGTCCAGTTTGCAGATGGCTCTGCATGGTGTGCTGGCTCCAGCCAGAAGCAAATTGCTAGAGTGTTCTAGTCTTCCTCAGACAGGGCCCAAGGGCACAGAAAAGGGAAATCCACGCAAAGACCCTGAAATAAAGACACATCAATTCCTGGCCATTGGATCATGATTTACTCTGTTGTTGAGGGACTTGAGGGAAAAAAAGACTGCAGGCTTAGTGACAGGAAGTTCTGAGGATGACAGATGTGGAAAGATTGTCCAGAATGGCTTCAGAACATAAGGCTATTTGTGTCCCAGATGAACGTTCATCAAAAGAACCTCTTAAAAGTCCGATGGGCAGTATGGCCCCTTCTGTGGCTGTCAGACTGTCTCTTCCCAGCTATTTAAGAACTTATTCAATGGCTGCATGAGAAAACTGGCTCAGCAATTTGGACTGTCTCCTCCCTGAGGCTGGCTGACCTATCTACTCTCAGTGCTGAGTCCAATTTGCAGGAACCAGCCAGAGGTCCGTGTGGAACCTTACTCTGAGGGGCACACCTGACTCTCTTCTAGCAGGATGATTACTTTGGACTATGTATTAGGGCTGGTTAGCTGCTGTAACAAACCAACCTCACATAGCAAGAGTTTTAACACCTTAGATCTCGTCTACCTCGTGTCGCAGGCCAATGCCTGTTGAAGGGGACTTTGCAGTCACTCAGGGATCCAGTCTCCTTGGATCTTGTGGCTCTGTCTTCACCTCGGCTCTCAAAGTCCTCTTCATTCATCCAGAGGATGGGAAAGGCAAAAAAGTGAGGGTTGCATGGGACATTTCTATGAGCTGTACCCAGAAATGAATATACATCACTTTTACTCACGCGCCATTGGGGAGAATTCCACTGTATGGTTCCCCCAGAGGATAATCCTTCCCTCCTACTTCTTCCTCTCTCCCCAGGCAGCACTGATCTGCCTTCTGTTTCTACAGAATATTTTGCATTTTCATACAGTATGTATTCTGCTTTGCCAGGCATCTTTCCTGCAGCATAATTATTTTGATTCATCCATATTGTAGCGTGTTTAGATAGCTCATTCCTTTATACTGCAGAGTAGTATTCCATTGTATGGAAGTATCACATTTTGTATCCATTCAGTGCTGATGAGCAGTCATGACAAACATTTCTCATGCATTAAATTAGCTTATTATGCTGCTCTGAGAACTGGAAGAAAATATATTTAAAGCCCAGTACAGGCTGGGCGCAGTGGCTCATGCCTGTACCTCCAACACTGTGGGAGGACCACTTAAAGCCAGGAGTTTGAGACTAGCCTGGGCAACAAAGCAAGACCCTGTCTCTCCAAAAAAGAAAGAAAGGAAAAAAAAGCTGGCATGGTGGTATGTGCCTGTAGTCCCAGCTACTTAGGAGGCTGAGCTGGGAGGCTTGCTTGAGCCCAGGAATTCAAAGCTGTAGTGAGCTGTGATCACTGCCACTGCAGTCCAGTCTGGGTGATAAAGCAAGACCCTGTATCTGTAAGAAATAAATAAAGTCTGGGTGCAGTGGCTCACGCCTGTACTCTCAGCACTTTGGGAAGCCAAGCTAGAAGGATCACTTGAGGCCAGGAGTTTGAGACCAGCCCAATCAACATAGTGAGACCCTCCATCTCTACAAAAAATTAAAAATTTAGCTGGGCGTGATGGCACTCATCTGTAGTCCTAGCTACTAGGGAGGCTGAGGCATGAGGATCCCTTGAGCCCAAGAGTTCGAGGCTCCAGTGAGGTAAAAAGATGCTACTGCACTCTAGCCTGAGTGACAAAGCGAGACGCCTTAAAAAAATAAAAATCCCTTAAAAAAATGAAAATAAAATATATTTAAAACAAGTATACAATGCACAATATAGTGAAATTGTATCACATACAACTGTTTAAACATGTATTTTGTACATGTTAACATGTGAGAGCAGGATTGGCTTCATAGATACATAACCTGTGCCACCACATAGGGCTCCACGCCCAGAAGGGCTGTGTGCCTGGCTCAGTGCTCTGCTGTCGCTTCCTTGAAATTCTTTATTCTTTCTTTCTTTCTTTTTTTTTTTTTTTTATTGATCATTCTTGGGTGTTTCTCACAGAGGGGGATTTGGCAGGGTCATAGGACAATAGTGGAGGGAAGGTCAGCAGATAAACATGTGAACAAGCGTCTCTGCTTTTCCTAGGCAGAGGACCCTGCGGCCTTCCGCAGCGTTTGTGTCCCTGGGTACTTGAGATTAGGGAGTGGTGATGACTCTTAATGAGAATGCTGCCTTCAAGCATCTGTTTAACAAAGCACGTCTTGCACCGCCCTTAATCCATTTAACCCTGAGTTGACACAGCACATGTTTCAGAGAGCACGGGGTTGGGGGTAAGGTTATAGATTAACAGCATCCCAAGGCAGAAGAATTTTTCTTAGTACAGAACAAAATGAAAAGTCTCCCATGTCTACTTCTTTTTACACAGACACGGCAACCATCCAATTTCTCAATCTTTTCCCCACCTTTCCCCCCTTTCTATTCCACAAAGCCGCCATTGTCATCCTGGCCCGTTCTCAATGAGCTGTTGGGCACACCTCCCAGATGGGGTGGTGGCCGGGCAGAGGGGCTCCTCACTTCCCTGTAGGGGCGGCCGGGCAGAGGCACCCCTCACCTCCCGGATGGGGCGGCTGGCCGGGCAGGGGGCTGACCCCCCCACCTCCCTCCCAGACGGGGCGGCTGGCCGGGCAGAGGGGCTCCTCACTTCCCCGTAGGGGCGGCCGGGCAGAGGCGCCCCTCACCTCCCGGACGGGGCGGCTGGCCGGGCGGGGGACTGACCCCCCAACCTCCCTCCCGGACGGGGCGGCTGGCCGGGCGGGGGGCTGACCCCCCCACCTCCCTCCCGGACGGGGCGGCTGGCCAGGCAGAGGGGCTCCTCACTTCCCAGTAGGGGCGGCCAGGCAGAGGCGCCCCTCACCTCCCGGACTGGGCGGCTGGCCGGGCGGGGGGCTGACCCCCCCCCAAATTCTTTCTTTCTTTATTTATTTTTGGAGATGGAGTCTCGCTCTTTCGCCCAGGCTGGAGTGCAGTGGCGCGATCTCAGCTCACTGAAAGCTCCGCCTCCCGGGTTCACGCCATTCTGCCTCAGCCTCCCGAGTAGCTGGGACTACAGGCGCCCACCACCACGCCGGCTAATTTTTTTGTATTTTTAGTAGAGACGAGGTTTCACCGTGTTAGCCAGGATGGTCTCCATCTCCTGCCCTCGTGATCCACCCGCCTCGGCCTCCCAAAGTGCTGGGATTACAGGCGTGAGCCACCACTCCCAGCCTTGAAGTTCTTAATGTTTGAACAAAGGGCCCACATTTTCATTTTGCTCTGGGCACTATAATTTATGTTGCAGGACACAGGACGAGCTACATAAGTTGTATAGTTTTTAACTGTTTTTAGGGGACATACAAGTAAAAGTTTTTAACTGCTTTTAGGGGACATACAAGTAAAAGTTTTTTTTTTTTTGAGACGGAGTCTTGCTCTGTCCCCCAGGCTAGAGTGCAGTGGCACAATCTCGGCTCACTGCAACCTCCACCTCCCGGGTTCAAGTGAGTCTCCTGCCTCAGCCTCCCGAGTAGCTGGGATTGCAAGCGTGTGCCACCACACCCGGCTAATTTTTGTATGTTTAGTAGAGACAGAGTTTCACCATGTTGGCCAGGCTGGTCTTGAACTCCTGATCTCAAGTGATCCACCCACCTTTGTGGGCAGCAAGCCACCCAGGTGCCAAGGCAAGAGACCAAGGACACGAGCTGTTCCAGTATAATAAAATATATAAAACAATAAGAGTTATACTAGATCTAGATCATAGACATGATTATATATGAATATCATTAATCATTAGTTTGTAGCAATTACTCTATATTCCAGTATTATAATAATCCTTGCTGTACAATCATAACCTAGGAAAAACCGAGCCATACAGAGATAGGAGCTGAAGGGATATAGTGAGAAGTGACCAGAAGACAAGAGTGGGAGACTTCTGTTATGCCTGGACAGGGCCACCAGAGGGCTCCTTGGTCTCCATAACGCCAGCATCTGGGAAGACGCCCGTTGCCAAGCAGACCGTGGTCTAGCAGTAGTGTCAGTGCCAAGGAAAACACCCGCTACTTAGCAGACCGGGAAAGGGAGTCTCCCTTTCTCCGGGGGAGTTTAGAGAAGACTCTACTCCTCCACCTCTTGTGGAGGGCCTGACATCAGTCAGGCCAGCCCACGGTTATCCGGAGGCCTAACCGTCTCCCTGTGATGCTGTGCTTCAGTGGTCACGCTCCTAGTCCGCCTTCATGTTCCATCCTGTGCACCTGGCTCTGCCTTTTAGATAACAGTAGCAAAATTAGTGAAAGTACTAAAAGTCTCTGATATGCAGAAATAATGGCGTAAGCTGTCCTCTCTCTCTCTCTCCCCCCGCCTTGGCTGTCAAACAGGGAGGGGGCCCCTGTCCAGTGGACACGTGACTCACGAGACCTTATCAATCATTGGAGATGACTCACACTCTTTACCCTGCCCTTTTTGCTTTGTATCCAATAAATAACAGTGCAGCCAGGCATTCGGGGCCACTACTGGTCTCTGTGTCTTGGTGGTAGTGGTCCCCTGGGCCCAGCTGTCTTTTATCTCTTTGTCTTGTGTCTTTATTTCTACAATCTCTCGTCTCTGCACACGGGGAGAAAAACCCACTGACCCTGTGGGGCTGGACCCTACACACCTTGGCCTTCCAAAGTGCTGGGATTACAGGTATGAACCACCACGCCACTGCAAGTAAAAGTTTTGAAAGCCACTAAGCGCTTGGGCTTTTGGAACCCCAAATCCAGGATGGTTTGCAAGGCCTCCTCCTTTCCACCCTGTGACTTAGTCTCCCCTCCCAAGGCAACAGGCATGGAATCCCTAGTTGCTCGCGTGGAGAGGAAGGAAGGGGAAATTGCAAGGGCAATGTAAACTAGATTACCATTTCAGCATTGTTTCCCATCGGCACAGGTAATGTTGGGTGCTAATGAGCCTCACAGGTGTGTGCTTCAGCCAGCCCCAGGGAAGTCACTGAGCACCATCTGTCCAATCCCCCTCATCACAGAGGAAAGCAGATCCAAGCCCCTTCCTCTCCTTGAGTTCTGGAGTTGGACCTCAGCCAGACAGAGGGATTTCTTAGCACTTTTTGAGGGAGGAAACCAACTCTGATCCCCTCTTCCTCAGTCCTCCTCCTTCTAACCTTGAGAATGGGCTTGCACCTTTGGGCAAAAGGAGTTTAGAGGAGAGGAAATATGGTTGCAGAGGGTGAGAGATGGGGTCGGGTATGAGGGATCTTGAATCCCAGGGTGAGATTGGACCTTCCTCTAGGGTGATGGAGCTGGGGCACAGAGGAAGAAGGAAATAGGGAAATCCAGGTAAGGCCCTCTGGGGAGGTGAAGCCTGCTGGACTTTGCCTTGATCTTTTCCAGGCCTAAATGTTATAGTAACTATTATTAAAAGTTTTAATGGTATATTTTTAACAGATACTCTTTTTCTACGAATAGTAAATTGCTACTAGATTGCATTATTAAAGTAAATGGTAATTACTCCTGATTATTACTTAACTGGGCAAGAACAATTAAACCTACACTAAAGGCCCTATGAGGGAACACCACCAGGGGAAGGAATAAAACATCACAGACAGTGTTGAAGAACCTGAATTTGCCTGGGGTGTTTAGGAAACAAACCTCCCAAATAAGGGAGGAGAGACTTCCTGTTGTTCACCACTCCGGCTTCATCTGACCTCTAAGTCTTGTTGATTCTGCTTCCAAAATATTTACTCCGGTTAGGATGAATCTCTGTTCATAAACCCACGTGTGCAAGAAATATAAAGTTTTCTATAACTCCACCTAATTTCCACTTGGCACTCTGCTGGAGTGACAGAAATTTAATCTCAGCTAATTTAGGGTTCCCTGAGGCTGTGCATAAGGGCTCAGGGCCTTATGAGTGTGTGTGTTGGGGGAATCTAGTTCTTAGTGTCATCTGTCCCCACAGGCATTCATGGAGAGGTCATTGGTCCCCACTGGTTGGTGCTGAGACCTGGCTCGTTCTTCCCCACAGCTGGCTTTCCTCCTCCAGCCATTCTTGCCTGTGGGAATCTGGGTGAGGCTATCTAAGGTCTTCTCCTAGACACACCTCATTGGCGTTCCATGCTGACTGTTCCTGCTTCCTGGGATAAGTTCCCTCTGCTCTTGGATTTTGTGCCCCCTCTCTGGGCCCCTCAGATGTTGTTGTCACTTACCTCCATTCTCTTCTTCACTTCCTTCCTTCCTTTTCTCTAGCCTCCAGAAACCTCTGTTTTAGGGTCTCTGGAAGACCCTCAAGAGATGGCCCTGTCTCCCTGACCAGGGTTCTAAACACACTGGGAAATGAAGCAAAGGAAAGGCAGATGGAGTCACAATATCAGCCTTATTACCAACTAAGTCATGCCCCAGGTCAGAGTATGTTGCTTGGTGTGGGCTGATGACTGAGCCCCCAAGTTAGGCAGACACCCCCCGCAGCCCCTGAGTTGTGGCAGTACTGGGCTGGGTAGGCCTCCCTCTCAGAATCCCTGTAGGGGCAGTGGGTGTGGACCCATTGTAGGCAGGGAGATCCCAAGAGGAAGAAGGGCAGAACAGAGCAGATCATGCACCCGATTCTCCAGACGCACTGATCAGAGGACTCATTCTCTCCCCATGATGCAGAAGTAGCAGGCCTGTGGGGCCCTACCACCTGGAAAGAGTGAGGAATAGGCATCTCTCCTAATCCTTCCTCCCTCTCCTCTTGCTCTTGATGTTTCTTGGAACTTTTCAGCTATGTCTGAGACTTCTTTTCTCTAAGTCCTTTTGAAACCAAATCCAGAAATATTTTTAAAGATATTTTTATTACAGACCTTTAAAACATAGACAAGTATAGACAGAATTCCGTAATAAATCCCCATGTCCTCATGCAACCATCAGTCAGCTTCAGCAGCTATCAACTCATGGCCACTTTTTCTTTTTTTTTTTTGAGACGGAGTCTCACTCTGTTGCCCAGGCTGGAGTGCAATGGCACGATCTCAGCTCACTGCAAGCTCTGCCTCCCGGGTTCACACTATTCTCCTGCCTCAGCCTCCCGAGTAGCTGGGACTACAGGCACGTGCCACCATGCCCGGCTAATTTTTTGTATTTTCAGTAGACGGGGTTTCACTGTGTTACCAGGCTGGTCTCGATCTCCTGACCTCGTGATCCACCTGCCTCGGCCTCCCAAAGTGCTGGGATTACAGGCGTGAGCCATCGTGCCTGGCTGGCCATTTTTTAAAGAGAAGAGATCTTGCTCTGTCACCCAGGATGGACTCATATTCCTGGGTCCAAGCAATCCTCACTTCCCAGGCTCCCACGTAGCTGGGACTACAGGGATGCACCATCTTATCTCGCACATGGCCTATTTTTTTTTTTTTTTTTTGAGACAAAGTCTCGCTCTGTCTCCCAGGCTGGAGTGCAATGACATGATCTCAGCTCACTGAAACCTCTGCCTCCCAGGTTCAAGTGATTCTCCTGCCTCATCCTCCCGAGTAGCTGGGAATATAGGCACCTGCCATCATGGTCAGCTAATTTTTGTATTTTTAGTAGAGACAGGGTTTCACCATGTTGGCCAGGCTGGTCTTGAACTCCTGACCTCAGGTGATCCATCCTCCTCGGCCTCCCAAAGTGCTGGGATTATAGGTGTGAGCCACCGCGCCTGGCACACATGGCCTGTTTGATTCATCTGTACCTCTACCTTCTCTCCCCACGCCTGTGTTGAAACAAATCCAGTGCATCATAACCAGAACTCTTGTTTCTGTTTTCTGCACCGTCATGTCCCGCCCCTGAGGTGCAATGAGCACAGAATGGACTAGCTATTTGAGAGCGGGGGTGGGAGGGCAGATGTGAATTACTAGAGAAAAAGAAAAACAAATGGCAACATTAGACAAACGTTATCCTGTTGTTTCCATTTTCCTCACCACTGTTCAAGTTCAGGACTCATCATTTACTTCTGGCAGCAGCTTGGTAACTAATCTCCTTGCTTCTTCTCCCTTCTAGATTACTGGTGTTTCCTCAAGTGACCACTTGTGTCATAAAAACTTGGAAAATGGACTGACATGCAGATCCGTGGGCCACTCTCCAGCCCCACTGAATCAGACACTTTGAGGTGGATTTCAGGTATTTTTTTTTTTTTTTTTTACAAACCTCCAGGTGATTCTCAAACACAGTACTGTGGAGAACCACTGTCCAAACCAGTCTTGATGCTGCTCCCAGTGCTATCTTGAAACACTAAGTCTGGCCCTGTCACCCCTGCTTACAACAACTCAGGAGGCCCCCTGCCTGAAGAATAAGTGCCAAGTATTTTTTTTTTCTTTCTTTCTTTCTTTTTTTTTTTTTTTGAGTCGGAGTCTCGCTCTGTCGCCCAGGCTGGAGTGCAGTGGCGAGATCTTGGCTCACCGCAACCTCCGCCTCCTGGGTTCAAGCAATTCTTCTGCCTCAGCCTCCTGAGTAGCTGGGACTACAGGCATGCGCCGCCATACCCGGCTAATTTTTGTATTTGTAATAGAGACGGAGTTTTGCCATGTTTGCCAGGCTGGTCTCAAACTCCTGACCTCAAGTGATCCGCCTGCCTCTGGCCTTCCAAAGTGCTGGGATTACAGGGGTGAGCCACCACGCTCAGCCCAGGCCTGGTATTTCCTTCTGGACTTTGCCTGACAGCAGCATCTTTCCCCATCACTCTCCACCTTGAACCCTGGGTTTTAGCCACATCTTACAACTTTGATGTGCTCAACTCTCTGGATTCTCTCCCTTATGCCTCCCAGGGCTGATAAACTTGTGCTGATCCTTCAAGGACCAGGTCAAGGGTGCCTTCTTCTTTGAAGCCATCTGTGGACTCACTCTGCTGTACATTGTAGTGGAAAGGCTTGGGAGTCAGACAGAGTTAAGTTAAAAGCTCTGCCACTTGCTAGCTGCGTGACTCCAGGAAAGTCCTCAGTTTCTCTGGGTCTCAGTCTCACCATCTAGAGAACAGGGATAAAAGTAGTGTCTTGGCTGGGTGTGGTGGCTCACGCCTATAATCCCAGCACTTCAGGAGGTCGAGGTGAATGGATCACTTGAGGCCAGGAGCTCGAGACCAGCCTTGCCAACATGGTAAAACCCTGTCTCTACTAAAAATGCAAAAGTTAGCTGGGTGTGGTGGTGTGCACCTGTAATCCCAGCTACCTGGGAGGCTGAGGCAGGAGAATGGCTTGAACCT